>NC_000016.10:62441288-62744318 GCF_000001405.40 Homo sapiens | reverse complement strand
ATTTTTTCTGTAATCATCATACAAAAGAAAATTATTCAGCCAACATTTATCTGACCCTATGAACATGTTATGAGAGAACATGTTCATATCATATGCTAAAGTTCTGGTAGATGAATCAGAAGCATTATGCAGCCATAAAAAGATAAGAAACATGTATAGCCTGAGAGTTAAATAGAAAATAAAAATAATTGACCACACAGAAACTCTCTGAAGCTAACTCAAGAAGTAACAGCATAGAGAAGCAAATTACCAGATGGTTTTGACCCAACAGGCCAGGAAAGGAAAATACAATGTTTCAAAATTATCATCATTCTGAAGTCTGACTATCTTCACCTTATGAAATTTTGTAATCTGAGTCTTCAAAGAGTGAAGGGTTATCTTTATGCTGAAGACAAAAAGCTGTTTTAAGGCTCTGAAGTCACACAGGGCACTAACTCATCTATGTTGTCAGACAAACAGCTGTTATCCATATCTGTGGAAAGGCAACAACTGATGTTTTCTGACATGGTGTTATGTTTACATAACATGGAGTAATGAGTGTTCCATGTTGAGAATGAAGCCATGTCAAGGGGGCACTAAAGTGACACTACTGGTCTTATGGAATCACAGAATCTTGGAACTGGAAAAGTTATTGGGCTATTAAGCAAAAGAACTCAATAGATCATGGAATCAAACTTAAATGTGCAGTTGCAATTTTATTGGTTTCAGAGCATCTGACTTGAAGGGGTAAACTAAAATATCACAGTGATGTCCTTAACAGGACTATTTGCATCATGGGAGGAAATGTTGGGGAAAAAACTACAATGGAACAGTCTAAGTCAATGAGTAGTAGAGGAGTGGAAATCTGAGTACAGACTACATGGTAAGTAGACTCAGCTCTTATAGCTAAAAAAAAAAAATCAAAAACTACCGTTATTGTTATTGTAAATATATAACAATATAATTCATACATATCAATATTTATATATTATTCAGGATTTTTTTTCAATATTTTATAGAAATACTGACTTTGGTTCAATAGAAAGAAGAATGACAGCTGGGCACGGTGGCTCACACCTGTAATCCCAGCACTGTGGGAGGCCAATGAGGGTGGATCACCCGAGATCAGAAGTCTGAGACCAGCCTAGTCAACATGGTGAAATCCCGTCTCTACTAAAGGTACAAAAATTAGCCGGACATGGTGGCGGGCACCTGCAATCCCAGCTACTCAGTAGGCTGAAGCAGGAGAATTGCTCAAACCCTGGAGGCAGAGGTTGCAGTGAGCCGAGATTGCACCACTGCACTCCAGCCTGGGCGAGAGGGCAAGACTCCATCTCAAAAAAAAAAAAAAAAAAAAAAAGAAGAATGCCGTTAGGTCAGAACTGCCCAGAAAAGGAGTGTGTTTCATGGGGATGTAGTAACTTGCATGTCCCTGGTCAAACATGCAACAAAATTAGTATTTCAAATGGGGCTTACCATCAGATTGGATGTGTATCAATGATATTCATAACTCGGGGGATAGGAAGAGTTGATTTAGATAAATATAGTTGGAAAGCTCATTATTTATCTTTAATTATAAAATTGTGATTTAGAAAGTTTAAAATGGGCATACCAGAGGCAAATGTAGGCTTTTAAGAGCCATTTTTAAAATTATGTTTTAGTTTGTTTTGAAACTGACTTTTTTTTTTTTGAGACAGAGTTTCGCTCTGTTGCCCAGGCTGGAGGGCAGTGGCGCAATCTCGGCTCACTGCAAGCTCCGCTTCCTGGATTCATGCCATTCTCCTGCCTCAGCCTCCTGAGTAGCTGAGACTACAGACGCCCATCACCACGCCCGGCTAATTTTTTTGTATTTTTAGTAGAGACGGGGTTTCACCATGTTAGCCAGGATGGTCTCAATCTCCTGACCTCGTGATCCGCCCGCCTCGGCCTCCCAAAGTGCTGGGATTACAGGCGTGAGCCACCGCACCCGGCCTGAAACTGACTTTTCTATTAATTTTATTATTCCAGAAAAATAAACTAGTTCAAATTCAAGGGGGAATAATCAAAGTTTATTACCAGAAATATGAATAGTTGATCCAGCTATTCAAATATCAGCCTATTCACATTTTTTAATCTAAACTTTCAGATTGAAAGACCATAATTTTACTTTCATCTTGTAGACATTTAGAGACTTACAAGGGCTCAAGGAGAAAGGTCAAAGTGCTATTATTAGACAATTCAGGCCAATGAGTGCCGGGCATTTGCACAACTCTAAACTAGGGGACTGAAAAATGTTCTCTTTAATGATTCTTTCTTTCCATTCCCTACTGTTTTGCATGCTTTCAATTTCTCAGTTTCTAGCGCCATCACTCCATTTCCAAGCTCCTGGGCATGCTATAGTTTGCTTAAAATTGTTGAGGTATTCTCTTTCACCTGCCATCTGAGAGTAGGGGGATGTTCGGAAACCAAGATCTTCAGTGATTTTATTTTTGCTTCCGTTTTCAACCACATTTACTGTCATCCTCTCACTTACACTTCTGAGTATCTTCTCAAATTGTCTTCATAGAATCTGCTAAATAAGTAGGAGGCTATAGTTTTCCATCTGAGCCTCTGCACTCTCTTGAACTAGAATAAGCCCTTGACCCAAATTAAACAAATCTGATTCTCTTTCAGAAATGTGAAATTGAAACTGAGGAATGCTATTTTTTTCTGGGGATATGTTTATCTCGAGGGACCTCCTAAGACTTATGGGCTATTTTTCTGCAAAGAGAACCAGAGAAAGCACTCAGAAAAAAGAGAAAAATGAAACAGATCAACACAGACCAGAAAATAGAAAAAAAAATGTAGTGAGATAAAAAGATGAAGTGGGCAAGAGAAGAACACAAGGACAAAATCAGAGATAAAGAGAGGGATAGTCTTAATCCCTGGCCAATCTGACAGTCTGTTTCCAGACTATAGGAGGTTTGCCTTTGTGCACTGGCAAAATTTCCACAGAATGATTCCTTTCTATTTCCAATAATTATCACTTGTTGTCATAGCTTATTTGAATGAATTTGAGTTGCTTTAGTGCCAAAAAAAATCTCTGAATAAGACAATTCTTTCCAAACCATTCTGTGTGCTAGAATGCCCCTTGCCCTATAATTCATTGGCCTTAGTCTTTCAGCCTTCAAATCTCCTTCTCTATGTGGCCCTTCGCAACCTTTTTTGGCCATATTTATCTCTCCTCCATGCTTCCGTAGCATGTTCTTTTGCTATGTTTTCCTGCTCTTTAGAATTTATTTATTGTTAGTGGAGTATACTTGATAGATATTTCAGGTAATATTTCATATGTATTGAAAAGCACATTGTATTTTTTGGTTTAGAAACTAATGATATATGATTCCATATGGTTCATAATTTGTTTATAAGTACAAATATATAGATATATTTATACATATTTATGTATAAATATTTATATGTGTATATGAGTAAATTCTGTTGAGTCATTTACATTTTCTACATCTTATTTTTGTTCTGCCTAACCTATTGAATTTTTAAGGTGGTATGTTAGAAAGAAATATACTTTTTCTTAGAATTGTTTCTGATTTGTTGAAGTTGTTGAAGTCTATAATATTATGTCTTCATTGTGGGTTGAATTTTTATCAAATTAAAATACCCTATCTTCTCATTTAATATCCTTTAAATTACTTTTTTATATCTGGTGCTACTATTGCTCTTAATGTTTTGTTTTGGCAGATACTGTTGAAATTCCTGTTTTAATCCCTCCCCCTTTTTTTTAACATTCATAGGGTATTCACTGTATTCCAATATGTGGTAATAACGTGACTGTAGATTTATTGTAGGTGGGAGTAGTTCTACCAGCCATTTTTCCTTTTATGTGAAAAGATTCACCGTACCTTGGAATCATTTGCCCTCAGGGACACTATCTTGCTGCTCTAGTTCCAAGGCTCACATTCAATATACTGGTCACAGGAAAACTCAATGGCTCTTGCATATTTGCTACTCTATATGTAACTCCTCTTTTAATAACAGAATATGTGTTATTGCCTCTAACTTTTCAATCTCTTAACTACAAGTCTAGCGTTCACCCACACAAATCCTCATACTGTACCAAGCTTCTCTAAAATCTATTTGAGACTATGATTTCTTTGCTCCCATCTGTTTCCATCTGTTTCTTATCTTTTCAGGATTCCCACCAAATTTCCAGTCAACTGATGATCTCTCCTACCTGCCTATACTGTGAAATTTTCATCTACTTGGTGCTATTTTAGTCTCACCACATTGTAATGATGTCTTTACATGTCTCTTTCCAAATTTCTTGTGAGTATCTTGAAAGGAATGATTTCACAGTCTCTAATTTTAACACCTACTGCTGTACCTGCCACTGGAGCACTTAATACATATCCTTTGAATTAATAAATGAATGAATATTTCCTTCAAAAAAAACCTGCAATATATTGTTTATTTCTCATTTGAAACTCAACATTTCCCCAAAGATGTTGTTTTCAACTCTCCTAAAGAATGATAGGCTCATTTGTGAGATGCTTCCCATTAAAATTTCACCTTGGAAGATTTCACTTGAAGAACATGCAACCTAAAAAACGTAGTTTTTATAACAGAACACCTTTCATGACCTTAGCAATCACATTGTGATTGGGTCATTATAATGGATGTAAACAAGTAGAAAACTAGCACTGTGCCAATAATAAAAGTAACTTTCACTTTTTGAAAGACCTAAGCAGCTGATCCAGCACCCCAGAGCTTGCTACAGATATTTCCTACCGTAGTGTAAGGACCACAGAAGACTCAGTAGAACATTAAACAGATTTTTTGAAATCAAACGTGATGAAAGTGCATTTCAGTTAGGGGAGAATGAGGAGAGAAAGGGACAAGGAAGAAAATGTGTGCAGAGCATCAGCCCCTCTAATCTTGAAAACCAGAGCCCCTCTTTGGGACTGAGCTCATATTGACTAATCACAGAAATCACAGCGCAAGGGTGACAGAAACTCCAGAGGAAGCAGGGATCTGACAAACTTCCCTGATAACCTTTACTGCCTGGACACAAGAATTGAGCTGGGCTTTGAAAGTGAAAGGGAACCTGCCTGGCAAACAAGCTGAAACTACAGAAAAGTTAAATTAGAGCCAGTGGGGGGATATTAAAAGCAGGAATAATTAGGGCAGCAAGAAAAAAAAGAATGAAACCAGATGATTAAAGGAAGGCTCCAGAGGCATGGAGCTACCTGTATAGCATTCTGACAACTATTAAAATCAAATTTGATGTTTTGCCTAATTCCAGTTTACATTTTTGGTTTGCAGTGTGTGTGTGTGATCCTCTATTATCTGGTTTTTCTTCTATTTTTTTTTTTTCCACTTGGCTACAGCTGGGTAGGAATGAAAGAGTGCCATGATCCAAACTGGATTTTAATGAGGACAGCTCAGTGCCTGCCAAGTCCTTGGGCGTGAAGTTGGGGAGCTGGGCCTACTGGTCCTTAAGGGTCCCTGCTCTGGAACTGAAAGCCCCTCTGTTGAAAACTTGGCAGCCCTTCCAGAGTCTCTTTCCCCTCTGCCAAGCAGATGAAAGCAGCGTCTGGCTCTGTACATGCAATGCTGAAAGTTGCCACAACTGTCAAAGGCCCAAGGAAGGAGCACTTCTTTTCCCTGACATAGATAGCTTCAAATCCAACCCAGGGACCCTCAGCTGTTGTCACCTTTCCTGAAAGATAGCAACTTTTTTATTCTTCATAAATTGCAAAGATGCCGCTTTCTACATTTAGCTTGGTAAAGACCCAAGAAGAAAACTTTGCTTTAAAAAGTCATCCTTATGAAGGGCACTGTTGCTTGCTGATGTGTCTAGACACAAAAGTTTATGTGGGAGAGTATTAGGCAGTGAGGCTAAAGTTTCAAAAATGAGTCAGACTCTAAACTTTCTATGAATAAAAGAAATGGTTTCAATTTTCTATGGAAATGTTACGGGGGAAGCAACAAAGCTGTCTAAGCAGAAGAGTAACAAATTAATTTTTTAAAAAATTGCATGAGAAAAATGAAACTTGCAGGCTATGTGAGAGAGAGAGATTTGAGATGTATCTACCAGAGATTGAAGACAATAGAGATACTATTTTAACTGTAGGTAGAATGAGAAAAGCCTTGGCAGTGGGAAAAAATAATATATATTCTAGATTTACAAAGAAGATATAATCAACAAGACTTAGTGATTGACTTTATGGGAAAGAGTGAAAAAAGCGAGCATGAAGATGGCACACAGTTTTCAGGCTTGGTTATCTGAATGAACGGTGTTGTCAATCATAAGGGCTGAAAATTAAGAGTAAGAAAATTAGTTTGCTCCTTTACAATAATGGGAAAGAAATCACAAGTTTTGGAGTTATTTATAAAGATGGAATTTTAAAAATATATTAAAATTGCTGTGCAACTATTGAAACTAAATATTGATGTACTCCTGTAGCATTTATGGGCCTATATATTTATTTGTCTATTTGTATATGTAAAACTTTCTTGAACATCTCCACCAGTGTGCATGCCAATCATGATTTCTGTTGTGGCATTAAGAACAAAATCAAACTCCATCCCATTTGACTACTACTCCTGAAGTACAAATCTCCCAGATTGTGGAGGATTCCCCAACTGGAGAAGAAAACTCTATCTGTAGAAAATTAAAGCAGATGGTTCCAGTGGGCTAGTAGTTCTCAATGTTGAGTGCTTAAACATCCTTATGTCCAGTTTATGCCTCAGACCAATGAAATGAAATTTGCAGGCATAGGACCTAAGTAACAGCATTAAATTTAATCAGCTAAGGAAAATGGAGTCTAGTTTTAGAATTACTAAATAAGGTTATATCTGACACAAATTGGAAAGAGACAGCTAGGAGACAAAAATACCAAGGGCCAGTCCAAAAGAGAGGAGTAGAATCACACTCAGCCGAATAATAATGGACAATCAGGAAAGAAGAACTTGCCTTTGAAGAACAGTACTGCAGGAAAAAGAATTAAGAACACCCCTCAAATTGGTTTGACCTGAATTGACACAGCCAAGGCTCATTTCTTGGGTGAGGAATACTTGGTGGTGTTGCAGCAAATTAAGAAGCAAAGCATGAGAAGACATCAGAGGTCAGATATCTTCCAGGAAACCTTCCTCATGTCTTATTGGCTTAATTTGTTGACCAGCATATTCTTAAGCTAACTCCCATTGTCAGGGAAATGTCAAAAGCTGATTGAATTAAGCACAAGTACTAGAGGTGATAGTAGGTGGTTACCTGCTTATTTTAATTCTATAAATCTGCATCTGCTTCTGAGCATGGAATAGATAAATGTAAACCACTGCATTAAAAGTAAACTAAAATTTTTCTCGGTGTTCCACATATAGATATTTGCCACTTTTCAATCTTATTTTAATAAAGTGGCATAAAAATAACTAGTTAATGTTTATTCCCACACTCATCTTTCCATAGTATCATCTTCATCTGACAGGTTAAAGTCACTCATGGTGACTAAATGGCTGCAGTTCTATGCCTCTACATGAGCTTCATTTGATCTTCAAACAGAGAGCTAGTTTCTAGTTGTTCTCCCAAAAAGCAAGCAACATTCTTCCCCACAAATGTCTCAAATTTTTTTCACGATTTAATGTTAACTTTATATTGGAATAACAATGGAATTAAAGAGAATTTAAAAATACCTGTCACTCCAAACACACACTCAAGCATTTTTTTTTTTTTTTTTTTTTTTTTTTTTTTTTGAGACGGAGTCTCACTCTGTCGCCCAGGCTGGAGTGCAGTGGCGCGATCTCAGCTCACTGCAAGCTCCGCCTCCCGGGTTCACGCCATTCTCCTGCCTCAGCCTCCCGAGTAGCTGGGACTACAGGCGCCCGCCACCACGCCCGGCTAATTTTTTGTATTTTTAGTAGAGGCGGGGTTTCACTGTGTTAGCCAGGATGGTCTCGATCTCCTGACCTCATGATCCGCCCGCCTCTGCCTCCCAAAGTGCTGGGATTACAGGCGTGAGCCACCGCGCCCGGCCTACTCAAGCATTTTCAATTTTGTGAACTGCCTTCTAGTTTTGTTCTATATAAAAATTACCTTTTTCACTTCATGATTATGCTCTAAAATTTATTAATTAGTATCTTAGCATTTTCATTTAGTTTGATTTGTATGCACATACACACATAACTTATCTTTTTAATGCCATCTTAATAATATTCACAATTATAACTTTTTATTTCCTTTTGACCTTTTCCTGATAATAAATTCCCTAAAGGAAGATAAGTATGTAAAGTTCCATTGGCACATTTAATGTTTATGGATAAGTATACAGATGCCTCTCCACCTTAGAGTTATGTCCAGATAAACAATAATGATATTTTCAATTTACAATAGAGGTTTATCAAAAAATAACCCCATAATAAGTCAAAGAGTATACTGAATGCCTATCACTTTTTCACCATAGTAAAATGAAGAATTCCTAAGTTAGGGACCATCTGTATATAGACAGATCTATTGATAGATTAATTAATAAATTGATTGATAGAACTGATAGATGATAAGTGGTTAATACAAGAGGTTTCCTCTTTTATTAGTTTCATTCCAGTATTATTTTATATCAATTTTATTGCAATACCTTTAGAAAAAATAACTACGTGTGTGTTTCATACTTATTTTGTCATTTTGCTAGCCAAGCGACAATTCAATAAAGCTTTAAATTGTGTTTTATTAATAGTAATGGTTGACATCATAAGGGCTCAGTAAATATTTGTTGAGACTAGATTTTTTGTTTGTTCATATACTATTTATATTTTATCTTAAGTAATTTTCTTTGCCCTTAACCAAGTCTTTTCATTCAAAAATCTATGCTCTATGAGATGTCTGACTAATGTTGAATGTCAAAGGTGATGATAGAAATAATCTGATCCTGTCAGTTTAATTCCTTTTTCTTAATTTTAGAACCACTAACTTCGCTTTCTAACCATAAAACTTAACAGCCAATTGGTACTTTTTTCTGTATTAATTTTTAAAGATTCAGTAAAACTAAATGACATCTTGACATATATGCCTTTTCTCATCATAGATACCTAAGAATAGTTTTATTATTAGTTAAAGTTTTTCTTGACATCTGAATATTTTATGGCAATTTATTTTTTTAAATTCAATCTGTCTTCTAAAACGAAGAGTTCTAATTCTTTATTGCCCTTAGAATAAATCAACATGTATCTTAAAAACTAGTCAGTCATGATTTTCTTTGAAAAGAAGATTAACTTAAATTGTTCATTCAAATGAAGTTGCTCTTCACTTTTTAGTTACAGTTCTTTATGCTTACTAATATGAAATTATTTTGGAATCTTTATTTACAAAGTGGCTGAAAAATACTTTGTATCATGCAAACATTCTAATAAGTAGCTCAGGTAAGAAGCAATTTACCTTAATGGAAGGAGCACTGATGCTAATTAAAATGTGGATTTTAATCTCTGAGCTATAAAAAATGTACTACGTAACCAGGATCCAGTCCTTTTGCTTCTCTGCAACTCACCTTACTCTTACGAAAAATGAGTGCGTTGATCTAGAACAGTGGTAGAAAAATGGGTAGTAATTAATGAAAAAAGTCATGTTTAGAGGTAATGTTATTTTTTCATTCAACATTAAAATTGATTTATGTAGGATAGTGTGAAAAAATGTATGTTACTTTATAATGTATTACCTGCCTTTTTAATATTAGAATGTTACCATACAATGTAGTGTTGTGTTAGTTAATGTTTTATCTTCCAAAGATAGATAAAACAACATTTCCCATCTCACTTGTTTTACCATGTTGCCTTGATACTCTTCCAATTTAATGATTGGGAATATAACACTTTTTCTTAGATCTGATTGGGTTTGTAACAGCTGTGGCCAATAGAGTACAATGGAAATGACATTATGTAACTTCAATGTCTATGTTATACAAGTCAATGGAATTCTAAACAAAAAACCTTGCTTTTAAAACTAAGGAGTCCAACTTTCCTGAGGTCTCCATGTTACATGGAGAGACCGTTTGTGCATGCTCTTATTAAAAACTCAGCTGAGAGCCTAGTCAACATCCAAACATGTGAATCAAGATGCCTTGAATATTGCTAGCCCTCAACCATTAAGTCTGACCAACTAGGGCCCCTGACATCATGAAGCAGAAACAAGCCACCCATGTTGTACCTAGTCAATTTTTCAGATTCACAGACTCCATGAGCATAGTAAAGTGGTTGCTTCATGCCACTCACTACTGGGATAGTTTGTTCACCAGTAATAACAAGCAAATGGAAATTTAGAATTCATAAATACAGTGCTATACTATAGTGTATTGCATATATCTGGAGTACTATATTATAATATGCTATACCATGCTGTATATAATCAAAACTTAGGACATGTGGCATTGGCTTTGGTATCAAGCAGATACATGCGAAGCCTTGAAGAGATCTTTGGTAAAAGCCAGAAGAACTTTGTTAGATCAAGGCTTACAAGACTGAGAAGAAAATACTATAAAAAGATCTAGAAAATAAAGAGAATTTGTAAAGTTACAGAAAATTCAGACAAAAATGTTACCTCAAGTGATATGGGAAGTATAAAATGTATGTAATGAACTTGAGGAGTTACTGAAGAATAGCTCCAGATGGAATATAGGCACGTGCCATCTGCCTTTGTCTGTAATAAAATAAGCCAAGGCAGAGATGGACTAAAGAATAAACTATTTAATGTTCAAGTATATTTTGAAGGATATTTGAAGTTCCTAGAATGGCCTTTTCAAATTTTAACGGATTCTCAAAATAAGAAACATACTCTGGACCAAGATCAATTCCAGGACGAAAATATACCTAGAATTGTTAAGACCTTAGAAAGTTCTAAGGCGATGTCTCATACAACTTTTCAGAAAGACCAACTGCATATAAAGTTTCTCAAGTCATACCTGAAAGACCCATTTTATTAAAGAAGCAGGGATTTTGATATTTTACGGTCATGACAATCTACACACTCCAAAGACTAGTTCAACTGTCCCCATGTCTTAATTCCAAAGTCCAAAACATGATGAGTCAATGTCCAGTACACTCCAGGGTGCTGTGGTCAGGGGTCAGGCACAGACCCAATACAAATCTTCCATGTCAGGACACTCACTACTCAGTCAAACAAGTTAAAGTGAGCAGGTCCTAGAGAACAAAAATAGCCCTAGATTTTGGATTGGTCAGACACTACTGAAAGTATGTTCACAAAGCCATCTAGAAATATACAAGGACAACTGAGAAAAATGATGCATTTTGCACCAAATTCTGCTTGTGCCATTAAGAAAAAAAGAGGTTTTCTGTATTTTGTAGTGTATAATCCTACTTTCTGATCGTCACTCAGAATCTCTACCTACAACAGCTCTGCTTAACATGTAGGTAATATGTATGTATGTATGCAACATGCATGTAATGGCTTGCCTTATCAGGCAGTGTTCCATCTAAAATAAAAGTAACATTAACAATCTTACAGATATATCTTCCTATTTTGAATGGCCACACTGAGGTCACTTTAGTAGATCTCAGTATCGAGATCACTGGAAAATAAATGAGTTTGTTTCCATAAATACAATAGTGCTTTTTATTAAATTATATCAAGGAGAGATGATTACAAAGTTTACTAAAGTAACCACAAGCCTGTAGAAATTAATAAAGTACAATTCAGAGAAGATGCTGCATAAAGATGGAAGATACATAACCTGACTTTGGTTGTCCCAAAGGATAGAGTACAGAACCTTGTGGTATTTAAGCCAAGTGTTTGAATGCTATCTATTTATAGAAAAATAACATTTGTTATTTACTTGGGAGAGCTCCCACTGAAATAATGGATTTCAAAGAGAGAGAGAGAGAGAGTGCCTTTCACTTTCAAATTTGAATGTGAAATTATAAGTGTCTATACATTTTATACCACTGCCAGAGAACTACAATGATTTCTATTGCAATTTCCTAAGGAAATCCTGTCTCTGTTCTCCAAACATAGAAGCATTGTACAACTGTCAGACAGGAAGCTCTCCCTTGAGGAAACAGACATCTCCAGTAGGACCCAACAGCTGTGGGAGGAATCTCCCAGCAGTGATATTTACAGAGCTCCATTTTAGGTATTGTCAGTGCTAGTCATGCTGCAAAGTCAGTGCCATCACTATTATTGAAGCTAATGGTTAACTGAATATGAATTAAATGGCTGTTTTTGTCATAAGTGAATCAGGCAGCATACCATGTTCATTCACTCAGTGAGAGGGCAGCCTCCTCCTCAGAGCGACAGTACTAAAAGCATTTTGTCCCTTAGGAAGGTGTATTTTTCATGTTTCTGGGCACACTCAGGAATGTCACTGTCCCGTGAGATTCGGGACAGCATCACGCACCCTGGGAAATGAGGAATGTCACCCTTGGTATGAGAAGTCCAAATGTCCCAGCTGTTCAGCCTTGAAAATTCAGGCACATTTCTACTCGCATTATATGTGATTAAAGTGCACAAGTTTGCAAAACTCACCTATACAAGTAAAAGCTTAAGAAAATAAAACCCAAATCCCTTGACCCACTGGGCTACACTTCTATTCCAGATAAAATATATCTGTTTGGAGGTGACAATGAACAAAACACAAAATTGATTGACACTCTCTGTACCACTTGAAATCACAGAGCTAGCTCTTACAAGATTAATGCTGGAATTCTGGCCTTTTGCGTCTTCATGTTATGACACATCCAATATTTAACACTCTACTTTCTCTCAACATTCAACATTCTCAACGTTCACCCATCTTTATATCTTTCCTGTGTATGCATTCTTCTCTGTCTTCCCTCCTCATTTCTGCTCCAATCTTTTCTTTCATTTCATTACATTTCCTCCATTGATCATTAGTTTATACAACTTAAAATTTTAAGAGTGCTTGATTCAGAGCAGATATTTCAGACATACTTGCTGAATCAAACATAAAGGAATAAATGTCACCGGTTTATTTTCTTGTTCTCTGCATTCATTGTCTCTTGAACATTCTAAAAATCACCATTGCTTTGAAAGCTCACTCTCAAAACTAATTTCACCAGGATTTCTGTCTTTCTACTGGAGCCATGACCTCCTCTCATGCATTCTCTCAATAAACAATTTATAAGCCCTACAAGGAAAGAGATAATTTGAGATTCCAAACAATAACATAACATTATCAGAAAAAAAAGGAGGTCAAGATATGGAAGCAATCGAAGTATCTCTTGATAGACAAATGGATTTCCTTTTAAAGTGGCGTATATAAACGTACAAATATACAATTTGGAAATTCAGCCCTGTTTCCTCTCTTTTGGCAATGTAATGACCACGCAAGCTACATTCAAAAGATACTTTCTGTAGGGCTGTGAAGCTTTGACTAACCCCTCTACCAAGAATAAATAAATAAAGTATGGTGAAGTATGAAAAGCATGGATTCCGTGGCTAAATGAATTTTGGCTTATTTTTGAGGTGTGGAGTTCAGAAAAGTAACTTTTATCTCTTAGAGCTTCAGTTTGCTCACCTGCACAAAAGCAATAACAATACCAACTTTATAAGGGGTTGTGCAGTGCCTAGTACATGTGAGGGCTTCTGTTAATAGATGTTTTTTGCCTGTTCTTCTCTTCTACGCTCTTAGCAAAATGTATATAACCTGCCTCTCACCCATCTCATTGTGACTTTTTATACAACTTTTGTCTTCCTGGAACCCAAGCTCTCTGCCTAGCTCACAGTGCCTAGAATATGGCTTTAGCAGTAACAATTACATCTACTAAATGACTTATGTATATGTATGAATGTGTGTGTATATGTGCCAGACATCAGAGTAGACCCATTTTTGTGCTGTGTTAATCTTTTGTCAGCCCTCAAATTTTAGATACTTTCAAAATTCCCAGATAAGAAAATTGTGGGCTCATAATGTTCATGTCACACATTAGTGAGGGTAGTCACCAAAACGTGAACCTTTAAAGTACAATTCCAGTACCCATCTCTTAATCATATCACTACCCTGCCTTTTAAACTGGGTGGGTGTAATTAATCTTCAACGATTGAAGTTCCAGAGAGTCCTAATAAAACTAGCAGTCATACATGGCCCTAGACAAAAAAAAAAAAAGAAAGCCATATATATGAGTACTCCTACTAACTTCTTTTAGAAATTTTGGTAGAGTTGGCATGCAGAGTTACTTTTTGTATCTTGCTGAATCCCAAATGCCAATAAATTAAAATTACCTGATTGGCAGAGAAGACACAGCTTTCTGTGCAGTGGGAGAGAATATGGAAGCTTGTGGCATCTCATTAACTCTCTAATTTCCTATATTGAGCGGTATAACATGATGAGGCTGAAAAGGCAATTTACCTTTCAATACAAGGAAAGCTGCTTGATTTCATTTCCAGAGAAAGCTCTTCTTCCTCCCTTTTAGTCCGTGGAAAATTGAAGGGAAAGAAAAATACTGTGTCAATAAGCTCTGTAAAAAGTTTATGATATAACAGGAAACAAAAACTGAGTTTAAATACTATATAATGTAAAAATGCTTGTGCCAGTTTTAAAGGAAACAACTCATATTCAACAAGTATTTGTGCTGTGGACGGCCTGGGGTCAACACTTACCTGTGCTGTCTCACTTAGCCCTCAACGCTGTCTGTTGACCTGTGATTATCTTTACATCCATATGAGGAAAGGGAGACACACATGATTCAATAAGTGCCCAAAGTCACTCTATTAGTATCCAAGCTGAAATTTATGCTCAGAAAGTTTAACCCCAGTGTCTGTGCTGTTCACCCCTGTATTACACCAACAGAAAAGTGTGACCCAAATGAGGGTGAAATCAGAGAAGGACAGCATTGGTATGGTGAAAACTTTGGAAACTGGGGCTGGACTTATAGAGAGCGTTATCCAAGAGCCTCTATGGAGATGATGGGCCCTCGACTTACTTTGTCTACATGTAAGAAAGCCTTTCATAACACAAAGTGCTCATCAAATCAAATTGTGTTAATATACTTATTTTAACAATTCAAAGTGGCTTTCTTGTAAAGCACTGGGCCCTTTTTTTTTTCCAGATGCGTTCTCAATAGTGGATGACCCTGGATGGTCTGCTCCAAATATTTTATATAGAGGCAATTTGGTTGTTCACTATTTCTTAACATTCCCTCCTTAATCAAGCTTTTCTCTCAATTGCTACATAAACACTGCTAATTCCCATCTCTATTCTCTCTGTTCAAGAGAGAAACCTTTCCCAGTGAAACTTACAGGAAGTGCTATTGAGTGATAAAATCTGGGTTCCTAGAACTAGAGAGACTCTCCCTCATCTATAATCCCTTCTCTCTCCCCTCCTATCACCAACCATTGCCCATGTTTCAGGACCTAAGTCAAGTCTCACTTCCTTCCGTCTTTATCAAGCAACCTCACCAACATCTTCCAGCTACACAAGGATCTTATTTCACTCATACTGAAATATTTGCCATTTTTTAGTGTTTTTGAATAGAGGGTTTTGCCATACGGATGAGAATACAAACTCATAGAAAACAGGATGCTTGGACAAATTAGTGCAATTGTTTCCAAATTCCTCTACAAACATAAAAGTATGCAGAATTCTCATGCATAAACTAGACGCCAGTGGGAGCCTCTGGTGGAAGCTGAGAGTGCTGGCTACCAAGTGTGTTCATCCAGTTTCCCTGCCCTCTCCCTCCCATTTCTTCTCCAAGAAGCTAAAATAAGAAATGGACAAGGGGATCATAATCAGAGGGACTGAATTCAAACTCAAGCTTACTGAGTGACATCGGGAGAGTTTCCATTCATTTATTAAGGTCTCTTTTTATTTTTGCAACGACCATCATACACCAACCTCAGGAGTAATATTTAGGCTTCAAAGAAGTGAACAACCAATAACGTTTTACTTTCTCCTTTTGTTTCCTGCTTTCCCTTTCCCAGATTGTTTTTCCTCCCATTCTTCCCACCACCCTTTTCCATGACATCTTTTTTATTGCTATGCCTATGGTAGGACCCTGCATACATTTATCATTTCATGTCCTAAATAGCAAAGATATATTTTGAATGCATTATAATTACAGATATATGCAGTATGAGGTATGCTAAGAAAAATATGACAGCCACCATGTTTGTGTTATTGTTCTATAAATATGTCCAATAACACAATAACATATTTATAGAACTATTTTTATGTATGGAAATAGAGTTTGCATATTCATGGAGTATGTTTTCCATTCCACAATACCACATCAGGCAATATATTACATCTCCTGGCCTGCTTGATATTCAATGCTAATAAAGTCTCATAGAAATAAAGCTATGTGGTAATAGAATGGCAGCTTTTTATTACAGAGATGTTTCTATTATGCTAATTTATGATTTACACAATAAGTGTAATTTCTTAATATAAACAAAACTCTAGTCCAATTTTAAAATGCCTCTACCTCTGGCTGGCAAATTTACATACCTCACAGTTTTATTAAATATATTCTGTGAAGATAAAACACATTTTTTACATAACAATCACCTCCAGCTTTTCCAGGGAGAATTTGATGGCATAGAACAGCTGCACATCTGTAATTGTTTTACCACCTGTTCTAAGGAAGTGAAGGTTCTGTACCCTACAATGGTGACTGGATAATGTTCTTCTCATATTTCAAGGTCATCAATTCTACTTTTATCTTTCAATACCTCTGGCATGGGAGGGGGAAGGAATGTCTGATAGAGTTGATTTTCCAAGGATTAGAAATTTTCCAGAAGAAAGGAATAGGGATTTACTTGAAATGAACAAGATGACTGAATGAGACGGCCACCATCTGTGATGAGCTTTAATTTCTTTCCTGAAAGGCAGTTTTATTTTGATACAGAAAAAGTAAAATGGTTGAGTTCAAAAGCAATGGAGGCCTTTCATTCAGAAAAAATAACATGAAAATGTGACAATATTGTTTAAATAATGATCTCTGTTCTCTCTCATACACACAGAATCTTTCATACTGACTCACAGAAATCACCTATGCTGATTAATGAATTTTAACTATACCACATTTAAGCAGATTGACCAATCTCAATCACAAAGTTGCTATATATTGATGTCATTCCGAGCAAATGTCACCATCTTTGTCAAATCACCAAAGTAGCCAAATCTGTGTCATAAAGTTAATGGAGCTGACCCAGGTGTATCAATGACACTGCTTTTGGATGTCTTAAAGCGATATTAGTGCAATGACTCAGTATGATGAGGCACGGTATTGAATTCTAGTGATAGATTACAGCTGAGACAAGAAGGAATCTTTGGTTTAATCTTATTACACATTTTAAATATCTAAATTTTAATTCTTAGTTCTTAGTTTTATGTTTTAAGACATAATTTTGCTTAATGGGTAGTTATGCAAGGACAAAGGAAATATATGTTAAATATTACCTTCCTTTTCTAAATATTCGTTGAAAAAAGAAGGAGCAAGGGTAGGAAGGAAGTAGGAGACTGATTTGAGAGTTGTCATTAGCGTACATAAGAAAGTAGTAAAAATATAGTCATGGACGTATCTGAAGTTTCTGCCTAGATTGATAGATAATTGTCCTACTAGTAGGAATCAGAAATGAATGGATGGGAGCATTTTTAGGGAGTAAAGAGGATGAAGCCAATTGGAGCTACACAAAGTTCTGGGCAGAGCATCCAATAGACACTTTCCCAACTCGGAACTGGTGTGTTTTACACTATGAACAGCAGTGTACTAGATCCCTGCTTCTCAACTGGAAGCAATTTTGACCCCAGGGGACATTCTACAAAGTCTGGAGTCATTTTTGGTTGTTAAACTGGGGAAATAAAAGGGGCTGCTACTAGCATTTAGTTAAGAGTCTGGGATACTGCTAAGCATTCTGCAGTGTACAGGACAGAGCCCCATTCCACAACAAAGAAGTATCCAGCCCAGAATATCAATAGTGTTGAGGTTGAAAAGCCATGAGATAAAGACCCTCTTATTGACCAAACTCTAACCAGGTTTATCTGAGCTTTTTCTCATCTAAGCTTCAACTTTGACTTATAAAGACTTCAAAAACACACTAATATAGTTCATAGTAGCTCAATGAGGCCACTTCCTTAAGATTAACTTAATTTCTTTCAAAGTGCCTGCCTGGGAAAACTCAACTCTGCCAAAATAATTTACTGTTCGCACAACCCGGCACCTAACAATGGAGTCTCTGATTCCCAGTCTCTGTAGGTGTGGGAAGGGCCTACCATCAATAAGAGCCAATTAGTAAAACCAGATGGGTTTCACGTGGACTATGTCCCCGTCCTGCTGCGTCCGGAACTGGTAAGTTCTTGGTCTCACTGACTTCAAGAATGAAGCCGCGGACCCTCACGGTGAGTGTCACAGTTCTTTAAAGGCGACGTGTCTGGAGTTTGTTCCTTCTGATGTTCGGATGTGTTCGGCATTTCTTCCTTCTGGTGGGTTCGTGGTGTCACTGGCTGAGGAGTAAAGCTACAACCCTTCACAGTGAGTGTTACAGCTCTTAAGGCAGAGTGTCTGGAGTTGTTCTTTCCTCCCAGTGGGCTCATGGTCTCCCTGGTTTCATAAGTGAAGCTACAGACCTTCGCGGTGAGTGTTACAGCTCATAAATGCACCACAGACCCAAAGAGTGAACAGCAGAAAAATATATTGTAAAGAGCAAAAGAACATACCTGCTACAAAGCAGGAAGAAACCAGAGCCAGTTGTTACTACTGGCTCAAGGCAGCCTGCTTTTATTCTCTTATCTGGCCCCACCCACATCCTGCTGATTGGTCCATTTTACGGAGAGCCAATTGGTCTGTTTTACAGAGAGCTGATTGGTCCGTTTTGACAGGGTGCTGATTGGTGCGTTTACAATCCCTGAGCTAGACACAAAAGTTCTCCACCTCCCCACTAGATTAGCTAGATACAGAGTGTTAATTGGTGCCTTCACAAACCCTGAGCTAGACACAGGGTGCTGATTGGTGTGTTTACAAACCCTGAGCTAGATACAGAATGCTGATTGGTGTATTTACAATCTGTTAGCTAGACATAAAGATTCTCCAAGTCCCCACCAGATTCAGGAGCCCAGGTGGTTTCACTCAGTGGTTTCACTCCACCGGGGCCACAGGTGGAGCTGCCTGCCAGTCCCACGCGGTGCTCTGGCACTCCTCAGCCCTTGGGCGGTCGATGGGACCCGGCACCGTGGAGCAGGGGCTGCGCTCGTCAGGGAGGCTCAGGCCGCGCAGGAGCCCTCAGCGGAGGGCGGGGGTGTGGGGGGGGAGACTCAGGCATGGTGGGCTGCAGGTCCCGAGCCCTGCCCCGCGGGGAGGCAGCTAAGGCCCGGCGAGAAATCAAGCACAGCAGCTGCTGGCCCAGGTGCTAAGCCCCTCAATGCCCGGGGCTGGCGGGGCGGGCTGGCGGCTCCGAGTGCGGGACCCGCCAAGCCCACGCCCACCCGGAACTCGCGCTGGCCAGCAAGCGCCGCGCGCAGCCCCGGTTCCCGCGTCTCTCCCTCCACACCTCCCCGCAAGCTGAGGGAGCCGGCTCCGGCCTTGGCCAGCCCAGAAAGGGGCTACCACAGTGCAGCGGCGGGCTGAAGGGCTCCTCAAGCGCGACCAGAGTGGGCGCCAAGGCCGAGGAGGCGCCCAGAGCGTGCGAGGGCTGCCAGCAGGTGTCACCTCTCACTGCTTTTTATAGCTTTTCACTTCCCTGAGTCTACTGAGCCCCTGCTCACTTCCTCCCTATTTCCTCATTGTTTCTTTATTTTTATTTTTTTTGAGACATAGTCTCACTCTGTTACCCAGGCTGGACTGCAGTGGCGCAACCACAGCTGACTGTAGCCTCTATGTCCTGGCCTCAAGCAACCCTCCTACCTCAGCCTCCTGTGTAGCTGGGACTATAGGCACAAGCCACCACAGCTGGCCAATTTTTTATTTTTGTTTCTGTAGAAACTAGGTCTCACCATGTTGCCCAAGCTGGTCTTGAACTCCTGGGCTCAAGCGATCCTCCTGCCCTTGGCTCTCAAAGTGCTGGGATTACAGGCATGAGCAATCACGCCTGGCCCATTCTCTTTCAAACACAGTCACCTCCGTACAATTTGAAGCTGAGTTCAGTTCACACTGGACTCTTCCCTATTGCAATAGTATATTACTGATTAAAATCTGTCCTTTAGTGTCTGGCTTTGTTTATATTTGATGCCTGTACTAGATAATGGATGAAGGTGGTTGCATAAGTGTATGTGTGCTTATGTAAAAAAATCTGTAATCTAGTAAAGGGAAAACAAGATTGTACATAATGGAAAATCCATATGGATAATAAACATCAAAGAAGTTCACAGAGGTTCAGAGATGGTATAAGGATGGTAGAAAAATAAAATACAGCAATACATTTGCAAGAACCCAGTGAAAATAAGGACATCTATAAAGTAACAAAGACTTAAGAAGTAACTTTTTCAAGTTTACATAGCTAGTTAGTGAGCTACTACAGAGGAGAGTTTCCAACTTAGCTCTTTGATTCTACAGCCAATTCATTGTCCTGCCTACAATACTAAGAACTAAAGCTATTACAATTGAGTGATAAATGATCTTTCCAACTATGATTGAGGGCTTCCTGCAGTCTTTGCATGTTTAATGTTGAAAATTTTGCTGGACTAATGGGCAGCCCATGTTTATGTAGTCAGCAGAGGGCTGCTGTAAACATTATAATTGTAACAATGTTTCCAGTCTCCCACATATTCGCTACTTAACACGGTGAGCAGCCTCCTAAAATGGGTGAAATCATGCACAGCCAACAGAATAGCATATGGAGTCCCCCCAACCACCACCAAAAAAAAGTGAAATTTCTTTCAGAAATGTTTATCTGGAAGTCTGTTTCTTGCTTTGATGGTTGTCACAAACTCCTGGAAAATTATTTTGAGAATTACCTTTATTATGATGAAGGCATAGTATGTCTTGGATCAGAAAATGAGGAGGTAGCTGCTGTGGTTTGAATGTTTATCCCTTCTAACACTCATGTTGAAATTTAATTCCCATTGCAATAGTATTAAGGGGTAGGAACCTTAAAAGGTAACTAGGTCATGAAGGCTTCACCCTCATGGGTGAGATTGGTGCTGCCCTAAAAGGGTGAGTTAAGCCCCCTTTTACCTTCTCTTTCTTGCCCTTCCATCTTCCACTATGAAATGATGCAACAAGAAGGCTCTTGCCAGGTGTAGGTCCCTCGGGTCTTGGACTTCCCAGCCTCCAGAACTGCAAGCAAATAAATTACTGCTCATTATAAATTACACAGCCTGCAGTATTGTGTTGTGGCAGTGTAAAATGGACTAAGACAGTTGCTATACTGCAGTGTGTAATTATATGGTACAATAAGATATCCAAACACTGACAGGTGAGCTAAATTTAGGTCCTTGCACAACAAATATATTAGCTGTTTGACCTTAGTCCAGTCATGTATCCTTTTTAGGACTTGGTTATCAACTGAAAATGATTTAATTAAATTTTAATAAAAACCATTTGTAGCCCCAACTGGAACTGATTCTGTGATCCTTATAACTTAAAAACATATCATCCAAAACTGACACCATAGCAATACCTGATGTTGTTTATCCACACATTCAACAAATATTTGTTGAAGACCTGCTATTTGTAATTCATAATGCACTTTTTAAGGTGGAGTTGAATAAATCCAAAGCACAAATCTTTGGTTACTGCTCAGGAAAGAAAAAATTACTCAGAATCTATGGTGGAAAAAATACTTTCATTGCTAGAAGATAAGTGTAGGCACAGCAATGTGGAATCAGGAAGATGAAGTTACTTTGACTTTGGAGATCAAGACAAGAGTGATTGATTAATGAGCTAGCATTTGAATGAGAAGCTTGAAAGCTGAGTACCACCCTCAAAGTTATAAAGCTGTGCTTCTTAGAATATATATTTTTCTAGGTTGGAAAAAACAGAAGTCCACCTCCCTAGAATGAGTTAGCCATTTTGTATATACATTCCCAAAAGACTTAAATTATGCCTTTGTGAAAACAGAGAGAAAGAGAGAGAGTCGGCTTACTTATCTGTCATTATTGCTGGATATCTGGTTTCTAACTGATTGCTTGACTCAGAATGGGACTTCATGAACTATACAAAAAATAATTATGAAGTGCTACATCCAGTACTTCACTGGAGCTAGGCTCTGGGTATATGTCAAACAGATAAAAAATTAATCTTGATTAACTAATATGGCTGTTTATTTATTTTATTGATCTGGTTAAGGGAAGGTTTGGTAGTGAGTGAGGATTTAGCATGCTCATATATACAGGTGTTTAACAAAATTTAGGAGGGGAAAAACAATACAATTTAGGTTCTATGTATTTGTATCAGTCATGTTGAGATTCCTTCAGGGTTGCATGATTTACTAGGCTGACTCCTGTGCAGCACCAGGGTTTATTCTAAGGCTCAAATTACTTCATAATATGAATTGATGCAAACTAGAAAACTCCCATGAGAGTGCATCTTTTCCATTTTATCTCTGAATTATTTTGTTCAATCCAATAGTCATATAGATTGATCTGTATCTCAAGGTTCAGAGCATTGCTTCAAAAATATATGAAAATGAAAAGACCTTTTAAAAATAGGCCCATAGCTCTTTGGAGAAAAAGCTGAATCTATGACTAGGGCAGGAAATAGACAAGATGAGCTAGGAACATATTATGGGACAAGAAATAAGGAAATGCTAAACACACACACGCACACGCACACACACACACACACACACACAATTAAAGATAGACACGCAAACCAACTGAAAGAGTTCCCAGTGGTCAAAGCTGGAAGAATTTGAACAATAAAATAAATTTATGAATCTATACTGATATACATAAATAAATAAATAAATAATTAAGTAAAGTTTGGCAACTGCCCCATGCAGAAGAATTAAAATAATTTACATAGATACTCCACTCTCAAATGAAGTGAAACTTAATCCCTCAATTTTTAAGCATGGACTATGCATAGTGACTTCCTGTGGCAAACTATACTATAGAAAGAGAGTGAGTGTGTGTGTGACTTTGCACTGGAGAAACATGGTAAATGTTACTTCAATCAAATGATAAAGATTCACATCAACAGTGATAAGTCATGTTGATAGTATATACCCTTGATGTGATCTGATGAAAATGGACAGTTTACCTCCAAAACACAGGCCTCTCAGTCTGACTCTGAGACAAAGATCAGACAAATATCAATAGAAGAGCATTCTACAAAATGCCTGCAGTACTTCTTAACACTTTTAAGATCATCAATAACAAGAAAATCTAAGGAACTCTCCACAGCCAACAGGAGCCTAAAGAGATACAATCCTTAGAGAAAATCCAAGAACAGAAAAGGGACATTAGGTAAAGACTAGAGAAATCTGAATCAAGTAGCAAATTTAATTAATAATAAGGTATCAATATTGGCTCATTATTTGTAACAAATGTCGATACTAATACGTAATCTTAGGTTGGTGCAAAAGTAATTGCCATTGAAAGTAATGGCCAAAACCGCGATTACTTTTGCACCAACTTAATATCAATACTAGAGAAACTGGTGCAAGGGTATATGAGATCTTTGTGCTGTCTTCACAACTCTCTATAAATCTCAGACTGTTCTTAAATTTAAAAGATTTTTTTTAAAGGAAGTTCATAAAAAACTTAAAAATTGAATTTCATGCCCCTGTCTTCTCCTGACTCAACGTTCCATTTTCATTTTGAACTAATCCACTGGTTATGCAAGTTTTTGGCATGGACTCATATCCATTTGTGTGTCTCCTGCAGTTCTCCTCTTTGACTCTAGGTCTCTGGCCATTGATCACACTTTGCCTTCCATGGTGGGTCTGATATTTGACTGTGGACCCAGTGCTCCTCTTTCCTGACATCTCTTTCACGCATGCTGGGCTCAGCCTACTCACTGTTCTTCTAAAACTGACATGTTCTTGGCCAGGCACGATGTCTCACACCTGTAATCCCAGCACTTTGGGAGGCCGAAGCGGGTGGATCACGAGGTCAGGAGATTGAGACCATCCTGGCTAACATAGTGAAAGCCCGTGTCTACTGAAAATACAAAAAATTAGCCGGGCGTGGTGGCAGGCGCCTGTAGTCCCAGTTACTTGGGAGGCTGAGGCAGGAGAATGGCATGAACCCGAAAGGCGGAGCTTGCAGTGAGCTGAGATCGTGCCACTGCACTCCAGCCTGGGTGACAGAGCGAGACTCGGTCAAAAAAACAAACAAACAAAAAAACTGACATGTTATTGACTCTTATGAGACTTATTCTACCATACAAAATTATTGAAGTTTCACTATTTTTTTTTTTTTTTGTAGCGACAGAGTATCTCTCTGTCACCCAGGCTGGAGTGCAGTGACTCCATCTCAGCTTACTGCAACCTCTGCCTCCCAGGTTCAAGCAATTCTCTTGTCTCAGCCTCCAGGGTAACTAGGATTACAGGTGCACACCGCCATGCCCAGCTAATTTCTTTTGTGTATTAGTAGAGAGGGGGTTTCACTGCGTTGCCCAGGCTGGTCTTGAACTCCTGAGCTCAAGCAATCTGCCTGCCTCAGCCTCCCAAAGTGCTAGGATTACAGGCGTGAGCCACCGTGCACAGCCAGTTTCACTACATTTTTAATTGAGGACACAGATGAAAATACTAGCCTATCCCATTTGCTAGTTCCTTTACATTCATCTTGAGAGCTGATAAAGTAGACAGCAATGTTCAAGGCACCAACTTGTACTCATCCCCCACAGTTTTTTCTAAAAGCTATCTTCCTCAAAGATAAAGCCCTTAGCTTAGTTATTTCATTATATTGAAACAAAGAAAAAACAACCTTAAAATGCTGTACTTAAAACATTGTCAACTTTGCAATAGTTAAAACAGACCCACTTTTTAAATGTTTAAATTCTACACATATCTTTTCTTCCTACACATCATATCAATATCTCTCTATATTCATTTTTCATTTGACAGTCTGTCTTCCCACTTAAGTTTTCCTATATTAATTTGCAGGAAGTAGAGAGATAAAGTTATTGGGCAAAATGGTATATATGTGTGCACAATTATTGTTGGGAGAAATAGAAACTTAAACAGTATAAATAAAGAAAAAAATTATTGTCTAATAAACCAAGCATAAAAATTGCACACCTGCCTTCATCCAGAAACACAAATAATATCATCTGGCCACTATCATTCTATTAGACACATCCTCCTCTCTTCCTACCTCCTCTAGTGGTCCACAGTGTCTTTGTTCTCATGTTTATGTTTGTGTGTACTTAATCTTTTGTTCCCACTTGTAAGTGAGAAGATGCAGTATTTGGTTTTCTATTCCTGTGTTAATTTGTTTAGGATTATGGTCTTCAACTGCATCCATATTGCTGCAAAGGACATGATTTCATTCTTTTTTATGACCGTGTAGTACTCCATGGTGTATATGTACCACATTTTCTTTATCCATTCTCCCACTGATTGACATCTGGGTTGATCACATGTCTTTGCTATTGTGAATAGCACAGCAATGAACATATGATTGCACGTGTCCTTTTGGTACAATAATTTAATGGCTATTACTAAAAAGTTAACAAACAACAGATGTGTGTGAGTTCTGAGAAAAGGGAATACTTGTACACAGTTGGTGGAAATGTAAGTTAGTGCAGCCACTGCAGAAAGCAGTCAGAGATTTCTCAAAAAACTTAAAACAGAGTTACCATTAGACCCACCAATCCCATTACTGTATATATACCCAAAGGAAAATAAATCATTCTACCAAAAAAAATACAATCTTTTAAAAACACAAATGATATTATGTTTCTCAGCTTGTTAAAATCTCTCAGACGTTTCTACTGCATACAGAATTACATCTACTCCCCAAAACAGTTCACTAGCACCTGCATCGTTTGGCCCACGCAGGTGCTAGTAAAACTATACCTGCATGGGCCAAGCTTCTGCTCTATCTCCTTTTTCTCTCTAGCATAAGTCTTCTCTATCTTCTTTTTCTCTCTAGCATAGACATCCTTTCTTTCTCAGGGCTTTTGCACTTGTGTTTTCTCTGAGACACTTACAGCTAGTTTCTTCCTGTCTTTCAGGTGACAAGTACCTTCTTTCTTTCTTTTTTTTTTTTTTTTTTTTTTTTGAGCCTCACTCTGTTCCCCAGGCTGGAGTGCAGTGACGTGATCTCGGCTCACTGCAACATCTGCCTCCCGGGTTGAAGCAATTCTTCTGCCTCAGCCTCCTGAGTAGCTGGGACTACAGGTGCATGCCGCCATGCCCGGCTAATTTTTTTCTTTTCTTTTCTTTTGTGTGTGTGTGTGTGTGTGTGTGTGTGTGTGTGTGTGTATTTTAGTAGAGACAGGGTTTCACCGTGTTGCCCAAGCTGGTCTCAAACTCCTGAGCTCAGGCAATTCGCCTGCCTTGGCCTCCCAAAGTGCTGGGATTACAGGCGTGAGCCACCACACAAAGCCACAACAAGTACCTTCTTACTAAGACATTCTTTAGCCATTCTTATTAAGCTCCTGCCACCCTCACCCCACCCTGATCACTCTCAGTGGACCAATGCCCCCTATCGTTATTACCCTCACAATACTCCTCACCATACAAAATTATCTTCTTCATTTCTCCCTTCACTTATTGTCTCCCCCACTCTTAAAAACAATATTCATTAGACTGTGAGTCACACATACGCCTAGCACATAAAACTGCTTCATAAACTAATGTTGGCTAAATGAATTAATTAACTTTTTGTGTTTTTAATGTGAGGCAATGACTTGCCGACCACAGAACTGGATGCCCAGAATGGGAAGAATGGAAAACAGTGTGTCCTTTAGAATGATGACTTAAGTAGGCTTGTTTCTCCAGACTGTGCTACCTGTCATACACATGCCTACTGATGGTAAAAACAATATCTGTGTTGAAAAGAATGAGATTTTGTAAAAAGGTTAAGAAGAAGAAGGAAGATATAATATTATTTCCACCTTCCTCACTTGATAAAACAAAGGCCCTGGAAGGTCTTTTAATGTTATTTATTTGGCTTGTATTGCTTTACGGTTGTATTTGCCCAGAGTGCTAAAAACAAAATAGAAAACAACACACATCACAAGTGCTCTTGGCTGTAAGAATGTGATACATTCACTTACATCTGGAAAGTCTATCTGACTTCCAAAGTTTCCTAAGCAAAATTCAGGAAGCTTTCCAAATTTGCAGTCGTTTGGACTTTCTCATTTGCTGTATGCATCTAAAAATATTTCAATGAAAATTTAAAAATTACTGCTGAATCATTTGTTTCTATACAAATAAGCACAAGGGCAAACAAATATAAAACAAATAGGCAAAAATGCATGCATATATGAGAGAATAGGGGAGCATTTTCAATATATATCAATGAGAAAGAAAGGCATGGAGGCAAGTAGGACTGAATTAAGGAAGGAAACGAAGAAGAAAGAATGGAAGAAAGGAAGAAAGTGATAGAAAAGAGAAAAGAAAAGATGGAAGGAAAAAGAAGAAAAGGGTGAAAGTAGAAAATAAGAAAAAGAAAAATGAAATTTTAAAAAGACCAACATAATTATAAGTGGTAGAAACTAGACAGAGAAGCCACTTCCTCTCAGAGTATGGACAATCCCTGTTAATTTCCAAGGGTCCTTACAAAGAGATACAAGTCTAAAATTGAAGTCTTCTCTTTGAGGGGTATGAAGCTCCTTTATTCTCTAACATGTGCCCCTCCAAAATCTTTAGTGCCCCTCCCTCCAACTCAAGAACATTTTATCAGATAGTGAAGAAAGCTATTTTTTTTAAAGTAAATGGAATATGAAAAGACAGTTTCTATATTAAATCTTTAATTGTTGTGTTATTGCTGAACTAGCAGGGTTAAAGATCATATTTTGCCCTTTCTGTCACCTTTGATGATGTCCTATGTTCTCTCCCCATTCTGCGTCTCACTCTAGCTTCAAACTTTTGGCTCTCCCATATTAATTGTATTTATTATCTTAATCTCCTGAATTTGGCATTCATATCATGACCCAGTATGACATGTTTTCACTTTGCTCCTCACCACAACTATTAAAGCCTTCTATTGAATGATTCATTGCAATGTGACACCTGTGTCCAAGGTTTCATATTTTTTATATGAGAAACACAAGCCCTGTGCCTTCAAATTCTTTCCACACCACCTAGTTCTTTTCATTTTTCCACAAATTAATCCTTTAACAGCTACAGGGCTCAGTGTTATTATCTGTAAAAGTGTTTTGGATATAATCAGGCTATAAGTAGATATATTCCAGAAAACAAAGGTCCCGTGAGATATTTCATGAAAGTAAACATGCATATAAAAAGGGAGAGACAGACAGTGGAGGTGAATTTACATGTCACTGAAGACTGTGTATTCACTCAAATCTTCACAAAGCCCTTAACCATTGTTAAGAACTGAGAAATTCTACAGCAAAGGAACAGATTTAACTTTACTAGCTATACCAAATTTATTTGGCCACATACCCTTCCTTTGTTCATGTATGGTAACACCCATTAAAAGCCAAAGAAAATAACATTCATGACTGACACTTAGGAATAATCCTGCCTGGGTATGTTTAATGCTCTGTTCCAATCCTGACAATATTCCAGAGTTATGGCATTTCAATCAGTTGAGTTCTGTTTACAATTTCACCCATGTAATTTAGCATCTACCAATGCCATTCCAATAAGGCCCACATACCAATAAAGATCCTGCTACTCAAAGGGTTGCAGATGACAGCATCTCCAATCACCAGGAAAAATTAAATGTCTCCAGGTCACAAAAGGCGGCATTCACTTAAACAAACAAACCGAAGAATTACTTAGTTTTTTAATTAACATCTTACATATCATATTAATAGATTGTCATCACTGACATTAATCTTTGTAATATAAACCATGCAATTTTTCATTTTATTTCAGTTAGGTTGCATTAATTTGGCAGCAAAGAGCACTGACTTAAGTTTGTATTTACAGAGCATCAATTTTGCTACCCATTTTTTCAGAGGATTGACATTAAAATAATCTAGTTGAAGACTAAAGCCATAAATTATATTCGAACATGTTGCATGACATAGAATTGAATTAATAAAGTTGAAGCCTAAGCAGTTCCTTTCAATAGTAAAATGTAAGTACCATGTCTAAAAGTGACAATTGCTAGCACAATACTTGCCAGGTATTAGAAGTTTGATTGGTTGAGTGTAGTGGTGCATGACAGTAATCCAGGCACTTTGGGAAGCCAAGGTGTGAGGATGACTTGAGCCCAAGAGTTGGAGACCAGCCTAGAGAAAATGGTGAAACCCTATCTCTACAAAGAAAAAATAATACAAATAATTAGCCCAAGGTGGTGGTGCATGCCTGTAGTCCCAGCTACTCAGGAGACTGAGTGGGGAGGATAGCTTGAGCTCAGGAGGCAGAGGTTGCAGTGAGCTGAGATTGAACCACTGCATTCCAGCCCAGCCTGGGCAACAGAGCAGTGCCCTGTCTCTAAAATGTAGGAAGGAGTAGAAGGAGAAAAAGAAGGAGAAGGGGGAGGAGGAGGTGGAGAAGGGGGAGGAAAAGGAGGAGGAGGAGGAGAAGGAGAAGGAGAAGCAGGAGGAGGAAGAGGAGGAATAGGAGGAAGGGGAAGGGGAAGCAGGAGAAGGAGAAGAAGGAGAAGAAGAATTAGAAGAAGAAAAGGAGGAGGAAGGAGAAGAAGTTGTTTGATTAATGCTTGTTGAAGGAATAGATGATTTTTTGGTGGAAGTATCCAAGCCATGTGTCCAGGCTCTTGGTGTGTCTCATCACATTTTGCCTTTTTTTCAGCTTTATTGAAGTACAGTTGATATACCAAAAGAAAAAAAAAACTGCCCATGTTTAATATATACAATTTTATGAGTTTGGAAACATGCATACACCCATATGTATATTTAATATCACAACCATAGTCAAGGTAATACACCTATTTATCACTTCCAAAATTTTCCTTGTGTACCTCTGTGTGTGTGTGTGCTTTGAACTGTGTGTTTGTGTGTGATAACAACAGATATGAGGCTCACCCTCTTAACAAATGTTTAAGTGTACAATGCTGCATTGTTAACTGTAGACACTATGTTGCACAGCAAATCTCTAGGATGTATTCATCATGCATAATCAAAACCCTACTCCCATTAAGCAACGATTTTCCTCTCCTTTCTTCCCCCATCCCTTGGCAACAGTCATTTTATTCTCCACTTCCATGATTTTTGACTATTCCAGGTACCTAATTTAAAGTGCAATCTAGTATCTTTCTATGACCGGTTTATTTCACTAACCATAATCTATTCCAGGTTCATCAATGTTATCACAAACAGTAGAATTTTATTTTTAGCAATTTAAATTTTGCTAGCAAAGTCTTCTTCCTTAAAGATTTGGCAAATAGGAAAAGTCCCAGAACGAGAGAAGCAGCATGAATATCATGCTACAGCTAATGCCGAGCAAGCCTGGACAGATTTATTAGAAAAGAGATTTTCTAAAGCTTAGACAGAAACATATTGTTGATTTCTTAGAGAGGAAAATGTGGGTCAAGCTGGACAGGAAATGTGAAAAATATACTGGCCTGGCTGCAGCAAAGAGCACGGATAGAGTAAAGGAAATGCATGCAATTGAGGATTGCACGTTAGCTCTCTCCTGTTGGGACCTTAGATTGTGCATTGGCTTTGAAACTGACCTGGGTTCTATGCCCTACCAATGAATGAGATATATTTTGAATATGTTACTTATGCAGTCTCGGTTACTTTTACCCCAACTGGAAATAAGTCAGGTGATAGATTTGGTGATGATAGGCAGGTAGTGATTAATATTAACAGGTAGTACTTATTGAGATCTTGCTATGTGCAAAGGAAAACTCAAAATTATGTATGTGTTAATAATTCAATTCCTACAACAACCCATCATGATTGATACTATTCTTATCCTCAATTTATGATTTAAAAACTGCCACATATTAGTTGGGCAACCTATGTCACAAACCCCATGAAGACAAAGCAAACCACAGAAAGGGGAGTGAGGTGTTTCTCTTAACGGATATGTTGCTACCCTTTAAGTTTACTTTTTTTTTTTTTTAATTTCAATCTTGTTCCTTCTTTATACCCATTGAGTTTAGTTTGTCTTGACTTCTACCAATTTCTGAGATTAACCTAATGCTGAAGCATAATAACTGTATTAGAATGATTGATCTGTTTAATTGTTTTATTTCTCTTTTTATGTGATTTTTTACTTAGACTATAACGTTATATCATTCCTGTGTTTTATTTTAAACCACTTCAATTTTCTCAAGCAGCACTAGTATACATTTTAAATAAAACACAAATACTGAATAACAAATACTGTGCAAGTAGGGGTTGGATTTGGGAAAGAAAATAGCCACTTGACAGGGTCTTGTTACCTTAATGATTATACTACAATTGGATCCCTGTTTCATGGAATAGGATATATCTATTTTGGACACATAGTTAGCAGTGGCTCCTACAGAAAACTATTGGAAATTTTACTTCAGAGTTTTAATTTTCTAAGGAAATATACTGGAGTCTTCATTAGCTGTTTTGGATTTTGTGGCTAAGAGCTTGTGGTATTACATTTTTGACTCATGATTCCACAACTATGACAAACTGAGAAAACTATTGCCATATGAGAGTGACTTTTATCAGAACATTAACCAAGAAGCATAGTCATTTAATTTCCTTTTATTTCAAGAAGCAGATGCCCGAAACAGGCATTATTTGAACTCATAATCTGATTATTGAAATATTCCTAGTGGCTAGTAGATTTCATTTTTACTATTAAAAATGTGGAGTTCTTAATGAGGTCTAGTGTGAAGTGTATACTTTTTAGACACTCATTTCATTTCTGTATTAAAACTTTTTAAAAGAAAATATTATTTATATTTTAAGAAATAAAGTCATAATTCTGCAAGCAGTACATTGTCAGAGCTATAAATCTAGTTGAAGATGTTGAACAAAAACATTCAATTATTTAGGTACATAAAAAGATATTTTATAAATAAAATAAATATTTTCCTTGTAGTAAATATTATTTTAAATGATCATTTAAAAATACAGTGGTTCCCACATGCTGAGGGCCATAAACATCTCATGGCTGAAACTGGTATTCCATAAGAAAAAGAAACATACATGCAGAAACATCCAATTCAGTAATATAATTGTAAAAGATTTATACCAAACCAAAATGATTAGTACCTTATGATTTGATTATATCAGCTATTTTAAAACTGACTACCAGCCCTAAAACTTACCTGACTGTGAAACGGGGAAAATTTCCCTTATCCCCATCTCAAGGCGTGCAATGGGGGTGTGGTTCGATTCTTCAGTGTCCTACAGCTCAAACCCCTAGGGGGAGCATGCAGATGAGCAGGTCATGGGAAACATAGGCTCCAACCCCAGGGCAGCATCTAGGGTTGAGTGTTTACAGCTCCTGAAGCCCCCGTGTGTTACAGTATGCTCTTTCAGCTTAGCTGTCCATAGGCGGCTTGGGTTCATCAGCTCGATTAGACCCTCCGCCTTATTGCAAGGACAGAGGGCTTTCTCTATCCTGAGGTTCTCGCCCTAGTATACAGGTAAAATCGGGTCACAGGTGGGCTTGGAGAATGAGTGCAAGGTTTTATTGAGTGGTGGAAGTAGCTCTCAGCAAATGGATGGGGAGCCAGAAGGCGGATAGAGTGGGCAGGTGGTCTTCCCCTGGAGTCAGGCTGCCAGACTTTCCTCCATTTGCCCCTGGCCGAATCCGTGTTGTTGTGCCGTCGATGGTCTGTCAGTCTGTCGGTGTGTTCTTCTGTTGGTGTGTTCCTCTCGACGTCCAGCTGCTTGTGTGTGTGCCCACTAGGCTCTCGGGTTTTTATAGGCACAGGATGGGGGCTGTGGCAGGCCAGAGTGGTCTGGAAAATGCAATATTTGGATGCAAAAACAAGAGTGCCTGTCCTCACTTAGGTCCGTGGGCACAAGCCCTGAGGGAGGGGCCCTCGCCAGGGACCCAGCCCTTCTCTACCCAGCACTTCCCTGCCCCTCTCCTTATCAACTGGACAATCTCTAATGTGTAAGCTCTTCTTAACCAACCTTATATTTAATTTGTTACTTAAAACACTGTAGCAATCATACTTGCCCTAGATCTATTTAATTCAGGCTTTCTCATTTAACCCATTGGTTCATTATTCAGACTGCCACTGCTCAAATGTATGATAATGATCAATGGAGAACACCAATCTCCTAGGTTTATAGTGCATTTACATCTTTCAGTTTATAAAAGTCATATTATTTTTAAACACTTCCTCTGTGAATTGGGAGATCGGACCATGTAACACCTTTTATTTATAAATCCTACTTTTGACCCTCTTCTATCCAGAACAGCATTAAAAACATAATATTTGATGGATAAGGGAAATCTCAGGTTCATACACAGCTGCCAATGTCCCTTAGAGCATGATTTCACAAAACCTTCTTTCTGATAAGGTATCTTCTTAGGAAAGACTGCCTGCCAGGAGAGCAACTGTTGTAAAGCAATCAAGTACTTTTAATTAAAAAAAAATCCCAAATACCTCAAAATGTTTTCCCTTATGACCTCAAATCCTGGGAGGCTTTCATTTTCATCCATTTCTGTATTGCTTTGACATAATTAGAGCAAAGTATCACAGATGCTGAGGATAATATTTTTAAAACCTGGGCTCAGGTTTACCAGATGTCTAAATCACCCATTGTGAATTATTAGCAATTTTTTAAATTGTTCTGGGAATGTAGATTTACCTCAAGAGCCTCAGAAACTAATCTAATCTCTATTCTTTGAATGTATATGAACTCAAATATGATTGAATTTTGATTTATAAATAATTACCCTGAGTAAGCTCCACATTATTTCATGAAATCTTAAAAATATGTACAGCATAAACATTACAGTTTGTCCTAAGATTCAAAATGTGTAGCTTATTGGGAATAATAAATGCCAAAAGTGATTTCAGCATACAAGAGTGTAAACTTTTATAAAACTGGCATTCATTTCTTATGATACCTTGTTGGCTAATTAGTTACATTTGAGAAATTAATTGTTTTTATGAGGAAAAGCAAAAATACTTTATTTTTAAATATCCAGATTTGGAAATGGATTAAACAGACTGTTTTGCATAAAACAATGTAGATTAAAAGCTCAATTAATTTAATCAGTTATCTGAGTGTCAAATAATTTGCCAATGAAATTTTATGTAGGCGTAAACTTGCCCTGAATATGCCATTTTCCAATAGGAGATAAAAAGCTGTTTATACCATCTGGAATTCTGGACGGGGACAGCGTTTTAGTGATTGCATCAGCAATGCAGCGCCAGTTTCAGAGATAAGTGTTTTGCGGGGGAAAAGAGGAAAAGCAAATCTGTAAGATTTATGCATACCACCTCATGCTCATGGTAGTAAGAGCTGAAAATTTGTTTAACACTATGGCATAACATGGGGGAGCCCAAGGCGAAGATAAATTAGCATCGGTGTCCCCGGCAAGGACTTATAGAGAAGATGGTTTAGGAATGGGAGTGGTAGAAGGAGGAGAGATGAAAAACAAAGAGAAATGAGTTAAGTCTGACAGAGAAACACATTACTGCGAGCCTCTCCTAAGATTACAGAATGAGTTCACTAAAAATCAAATTTGCGATGCTCATCAGATAGACTATGTACTCAAGCCCTCTTCATTCCTGGTCTGGTCTCTTTCAGCAGCCTCTTACCTATTCTTTGCACCTGCAATTTTCTCTCTCATTGATTTCTCCTTCAAGATGTTTTAAGAATTGTTATTATAAAATGGAAATCTGACTATATTACCCCAGGTTTTCTGGTTTCCATGGCCATAAAGTCTGAACTCTTCCAATCCTCCAGAAATGTTCTTGAATACTCCATGCATGGAGTACTTGTTTCGCTGAAGCCTCATTCCCTAAACAGTTAGGCAATTCATCAACTTCTTACCCTATTTTCAGTCTCTCTAGCCCCAAACCACCCTGCCCTTGCAAATGTTTCTGATTTACTAAACTATTTCCAGACTGAACCAAGTAGAGATTGTTACTCTTTTTCTGTTTTCCAATGGCACTTTTGAGTTTTCTTAAAAAGTACTTATTAGTCTTGCACTTAGGCATGATTGATTGAATACCACATTTATAATGACACCCTCATCCCCCAAACAGATGTGAACCCACAAAGACAAGGAATAGGAGAAGAAACAACGCGAGACAAAAGATGACATTGTTTGGGAAAATGGAAATCAGAAGGGAGAATAGTAGCTTAGTGAAGCAGAGAAAACTATGTCCAAATTGCTTGGAGAAAGAGACAGATGCTAAGAAGAAATTTCAACTTTGCCTACTTACCAGTCCTCTCTAGAAACTCCAAGTTTCAAATATTCACATTTCTGATCTCTACAACAAATATATGTTTAAACTTCATATATCTTAAACAGTATATTACCTAATATAGGCATAAATAATACTTCTTAAAGGAATATTTTAATAATTACTTACATTTATTAACTTTATAACATCTATTATTCTGTAAATCAATTTTTTAAAATTTCATTTAATGCTTATAAAAACTTCCTGAATTAGGTATTGCTTATTCTCCCTTAATAGGAGAACTGGGGCTCAGACAGGATAAATAGCTTCAATAAGGTTATAACCTGGCTGTGGGCAGAGATACAATTTGAACTCAAATTAGTCTGAACCCAAAGTCAGTGCTTTTGTACTGCCTAAATTGCTTCTATTTAGGTTTTTTTTTTCCTCCCTGAAAAATATTTGCTTAAACAAAATATCTGAGAAGGTGGGGAAAGAGAGGGGGGTTTCTAAAATATTTTTGAGGGAACAATTCAAATGTCAAAAGTAAGTAAAGATGTAGTGTTCCCACATTACATTTTTAGCCCAGGGCCTATACTAGTGGAAAGACCACTAGTCCTTTTATCTTTATCCTGCCTCTGACAACAGAGAAAATACATACAGTTCCTTTTGGGCACTAATATTCTGATTTTGACATTATCTAAACCTATACATCTTATCAAGCTTGCTTACTTGATTTTCCCACCCAATTGAATTTCAACAAATTGGAGGAAAGATGAAGGGACTTACAGAAGCAAGAAGTGTCAGTTAACAGTAAGAAATAAAAGCAGATGCAGTAAAAACTAATAAATAACTTTCTATTCATATTAACACAAAATAAAAATGATGCTTATGTTCCAGCAATAGTTGTGCTTTCAAGATTACATTCTTCTTGAGTAAAATTTTACATGATACCATTAAATCCATTTAGCTGCCATGCAGGATGGCTCATGCCTATAATCCCAGCACTTTGGGAGGCCAAGGCAGGATGGTCACTTGTGTCCAGGAGTTCCAGACCAGCCTGGGCAACAAAGTGAGACTTCATCTTTACAAAAAAATAAAAAGTTAGCCAGGTGTGGTGGTGTATGCCTGTAGTCCCAGCTTCTCAGGAGGCCGTGGTGAGAGGATTCCTTGAGCCTGGGAGGTCGAGGCTGCAGTGAGCCGTGATCGCACCACTGCACTCAGCCTAGGTGACAGAGTGAGACCCTGTCTGAAAAACAAAAAAGATCCCTGTAGTTAATCTAGACAGTAATGTCTCTGAAGATATTTTTGGCAGAGAGTGTAATTGTTTCACATTTTCAAATTTTGATCTTTCTATCTGAAAACTGTCAAGCACACATAAGACAAGGTAAGACCAAGGCTTGACTAACTTAACCAGTGAAGTTATGAGTCACTTCAAATTCCATATTTTCTTTGCATAAACAGTAGAAGAAAGTATAGGCAGAGATGACAGATCCTTGTGGTCCATGTTCCATATACCCAAAAGAACACTGAATGAGAAATGGCTAGGTGACGGCAACAGGATTGGAAAGACACCCAGCTGTTGAGAAGCTGTTTCTACTCTGCATCTAAGCAGTTTTATATTTGGCAGCTCTGTTGTGAGGGGAACAAGACAGAAAGCCCCATAGCTCATCAGAGTCCAAGTTGCAGTGGAAAATTGCCTATGACAACCATCAAGAGGAAAGCAGGGAATGGGGGGTTGGGAATAAATGATGGCCTCAGAAGAGCTTCTCACAGGTTTCCCAGCCTCCAGTGTTTCCAGAGAATCATAAAGCTTTCTACCAAGACTTCCAGTAGTTGTGGTCGAAACTTTTGTGTGTATGGCCCTTGTGGATACGTGCAAGGTTACCAGAGTGCCACAGAAGGACCATTTCCTTGCATAAACAACTGAGAAATGAGAGAGAATACTGAGTTGAATCATTTTCTGATAGCATTTTATGGGTACCTCTGTTGAGAATAAAATTCTGTTTGCTAATAAATAAATAAATAAATAGCTACAGTTTCCACTTGCCTTTAATATACGGTCACATTTCTATTATATTATATTATATTATATATGCTGATATTATGGAATATATATTTGATTTTTTATTTCCATTTCTTAGCATACGGCTCCTAAAATCTTTGGAATCTCCAGAGTGATGGGAGTGATAAATGTCTTCTGTTTGTGAAAAAGAAGACTGGTGGCTGGGGGTCTCAGATAGTACCAGGATGGGGGCTGGTCACCAGAAAGATCAAGGCATGATTACAGATTTGGACTTTCAGTCCCATGCCCCAACCTCCAGGGAAGGAAAATGGCCTGCAGGATGAATTCATCACCAATGTCCAGTGATTCCATCAGTCATGCCTACATAATGAAACCTCCATAAAACCCCAAAGCATGGGGTTCAAATATGCTTCCAGGTAGCTGAACACATGAGGTTCCTGGAAGATGGGATACTTCGAGAGGGCACGGGAGCTCCATCCCACTTTCCCCATACCTCACCCTGTTTATTACTTCTTCTAGCTGCTCATCTGTATCCTCTGTATTATCCTTAAAATGTGTTAGCCAAAAAATGTGAGTAAAGTGTTGTCCTGAACTCTTTGAGATGCCCTAGAAAATTGATCGAATCTGAGGGGGGATTGTGGAGACCCCAGCGTATAGCTTGATCAGTCAGAAGCACAGGCTGTGATTCGATATATTTGATAACTCATATCTCAAGTGGGGAGCAGCCTTGTGGGGCTGAGGTCCTCAACCTTTGAGATCTGACATTATCTTCAGGTAGGTAATGTGAGAACTGAATCGAATTAGAGGTCTTATAGCCAGTCTGTCTGCTGGAGAATCTCTCAGAGAATTGACTAGCTGCTGGTAGAAAGAACACCTCACCTTCCACCCCGACCAACACACACACATTTTGGTGACAGGAGATGCTGTGTTATATTGACTATGTAAAATAAAGAGGAAAAAAAGCACATATATATGTGATATATTTATGTGATGTGATATGGTTAGCCAGCATTAGGGTAGGCAATGTTATACCCATGCCTTTCTTACTGACTTAGCTGTTGCTTAAGAAGACACAAACATCTCTAATTTATTCTAGACATATATAAGTGTATCATGGTTAAAATAACATTACTCTATTTGGAGGAAATCAATCTCAATTATTGGGGTAAAAGTTTTATTATATCTCTAAATCCCCCAAAGAATCAGGCTATTAAAGAAAGATGAAAGTTGAGATGTTTACATTCCATGTTGTTCTGTCAAGCTATCAATGGCTCTACATTTTAATTACCTGGAAATGCCTATAGTTAGCCTAGAGAAATTCATTTTCTTTCTTAATATTTTCCAACATAACTTGATTCTACAAGAATAACAGGGAATATTTTAAATTAGAGAATATCCAGGTAAGAATGACAAGATAGTGGGATGGCCAGGCGCACTGGCTTACACTTATAATCTCAACATTTTGAGAGGCTGATGCAGGAGGATTGCTTGAGCCCAGGATTTTAAGCCTAGCCTGGGCAACATAGTGAGACCCCATCTCTAAAAAAAAAAAATACTTTTATTAGCCAAGTGTGGTGGCATGCTCCTGTAGTAGTCCCAGCCACTAGAGAGGCTAAGGTAGGAAGATCACTTCAGTTCAAGAGTTCAAGGCTGCAGTAAGTTGTGATCCCACCAGGGCACTTCAACCTGGGTGACAGAGCAAGACTCTGTTTCTGAAAAAAAAGATGGTGGAATGTCCACAAAAATGTTATGTCAATTAAGTATTGATGGATAGAACTGAGGCATTTAATTTGAGAGGAAGACACAAAAAAGCCTGAAAGATATTCTCAAGGATTCAAATGACAATTTTTAAAAAGCTGGATAATATGCATATTCAGATGTTCTAATTAGAGAAAAGCCAGGGGCTGGATATTAGAGAGGACATATTTTAGTTCAAACTAAGGAAGAAGGTAATAGTTATATGAGCTGATAGACAATAAAATCAACTTCTTTTCTGAGGTATTGAGTGTCCTTTCACTAAAAATGTTTAAGCAGACATTCCTCATTGATGTTACAGGTGTAATTTAAACATAGAATAAAAAATGCAGCAAAATCAAATTGAACTATATCCAAATATTCCCAATGGAAGCTCATTTGATTCTTATCCCTTAAAATATCCTTCCCATTTAACTTCATCTGGTGAAACCCTGGTATATGAAAATCTATCTAAAAGCCACCTGATTAATAAAGAACTTCCTGATAATCCAAATGACTTTTTTTTCAATCCAGAAATGACTTTTTTATTTCAGTACTACAACTTCTCTGGGAGGAATTCTTACACCTACCTTGCATTAGAGGTGTTGTTTGATCACAGATCTGCTATGAAACTCTATATTCTGATTGCCAGTATTGTTTTTACACTTGTGAGGTCTTTAAACCTAACACATGCTCAGCAAACATTTACTAAATCAACAAATAAATTAACTCTACAAACCAAAAGGCATTCTTTTTACCTATATAAAAGAACACTTAAAATGGAGTAAGAGTCTTATTTTGACTCATTTTTAGAAATTTCAAAAGATTTTTCTTCAGAGTAACACAATCTCATAAATTTTTAGACTTTTTAAATACTGTATCTATTTTCTATTGTTGCTCTAACAAATTACCACAAATTTAGTGCCTTAAATAACATCAATATAGTATCTTAAGATTGTGTAGAATCTAGTATGTCTAGTATGAATCTCTCTGGACTAAAATCAGGGTATCAGCAAGCCTACATTCTTTTCTGGAAGCTCCAAGGAAGAATACATTTTTCTGTTCCTTCATGTCATTGGCAGAACTGTTTCTTCTGGTTGTAGAGCTGAGGTCTCCACTTTCTTACTGGGTGTGACTTCAGGGGTGCTCCCAGCTGCTAGAGGTTGCCAAATTTTTTTTTTTTTTTTGAGATGGAGTCTCGCTCTGTTGCCCAGGCTGGAGTGCAGTGGCACGATCTCTGCTCACTGCAAGCTCCGCCTCTCCAGTTCACGCCATTCTCCTGCCTCAGCCTCCCGAGTAGCTGGAACTACAGGCGCCCGCCACTACGCCTGGCTAATTTTTTTTTGTATTTTTAGTAGAGACGGGGTTTCACCGTGTTAGCCAGGATGGTCTCGATCTCCTGACCTTGTGATCCGCCTGCCTCGGCCTCCCAAAGTGTTGGGATTACAGGTGTGAGCCACCGCTCCCGGCCTGAGGTTGCCACATTTTTATAGCTAGTGGTCCTTCCACTTTACCCTCAAAGCCAGCAATGGTAGTTCTGGTAGGTCAAATCCTTCTCAAGTTGCATCTTTCTGATCCAATCTTCTACCTCTTTCTTCCTCTTTTAAGAGTTTATGTGATTAAATTGGGTCCATTCAGATATTCCAGAGTAATCTCCATCTCTTAAATTGAGCTTATTAGCAACCTTAATTCCAACTGAAACCTGAATTCCCTTTGCCACATAAAGTAATATATTCACAGGTTCTAGAAATTAGGACATGAAAATCTTTGGAACATTATTATTCTACCTTCTATTTTTTTTTACAAAAGGCTGTCTTACCTTATTTTCAAAACTTTCAGAGTGATACAACTTTATGAATATCTAGAGTTTGTCACTTATGTATCAATCATACTATTTACTAAAATAAAATATTATTGCATGCCTTCATTATCTCCTGAAATAGAATACATTTGGAATTACTATAATTTCCTAAACAACCAAATATCATAAAGGAAAATTGTATGTTAACTATTTTTTCTAACACTCCTCAGTTTTCCTTTTAAAAAGTGGATAATCTTTGCAAAATTCTCATTTATTTTCAGTTACTATTGTTAATAAGCTTTAACTGTGGTCTTGAAAGTGATTATAATTTTTGCTGTAAAATAATGTACATGGGCTTTGTATCAACTAGTTAGCTTAATGGTTACATGTCTTGAGTATTTACTTGAATTCTATGCTATTAACTAAATTATTGAGTTTTCTCTTTTACTTGTATTCATCATATATTGTAGTGACCTGAAGATCCCATAAACAAAGTGAAATAAATCTAGAGATAATATAGATTTTTTAGAGTAGTCATAAACTAATCAATTTAGGCAAAGGAAGCTTCAGTAAAGAAACATAGACTATTATGTAAACAAGTATCTCAAATAACTCAATATATAGTCTTAAATTAGGTAGTTTCTTGGCAAGTTTTTAGGTTAGGTGATATCCTAATGTGAAGATATGATTTTTAAATGTTTTCAGAATAATTTGTCTTCATTCATTTCTGTATTTATTATGCAAACCTTATTGCAAAACACTTTTCTAATTTCTGTAGCCACAAAGTTGAGAAAGACATGGTTGGTATTGTCAAGGGAGAAGAATGAATAAACTTCTATTCACCAGACATTTATATTTCACTAAAATCTTGACATTTTTAAATTAGTTTTTACTGAACTCTTATGTTCCAAACATATTTTTAAGCATCCTATATTTTTTAATTACTGAATGCTCTCAACAACTCAATGAAATGGATTCTATTATAACTTCAATTTCCATATGGGAAATAAACCAACGTTGGTTTCAGAAACTCATCAAGTCACACCACCTTTAAATGGCAGACTGAAAATTTCAGCAATACAGTATAAATCCAGCGTTCTCTTAACCCTTATGCACCAAGTTCTTTTAATATTTTAACCTCTAGGTTTCAGTTGTTTTCTAGATTTTACAAGTGAGGAAATAATGGCCCAGTGATGGTAAGAAAAAGTTGATAAGGATTTCATGAGTGGTAGATGTCAGAGCCTGAAATAAAACTCTCTTTCTTTGGCGCTTTGTCTTCAACGAAAATGTTCTTTTCATTAAGTCGTCATAAATCCTGTAAGTAGAAATAGGTGAATACAGCTGGGTGTGGTGGCTCACACCTGTAATCCCAGCACTTTGGGAGGCTGAGGTGGGTGGATCACCTAGTTCAGGAGTTTGAGACCAGCCTGACCAACATGGTGAAATCCTGTCTCTACTAAAAATACAAGAATCAGTCAGGCGTGGTGGTGGGTGCCTGTAATCCCAGGTACTTGGGAGGCTGAGGCAGGAGAATTGCTTGAACCTGGAAGGTGGAGGTTGCAGTGAGCCGAGATGGCACCATTGCACTCCAGCCTGGGCAACACAGCGAGACTCCTTCTCAAAAAAAAAAAAAAAAAAAAAGGAAAGAAAGAAATGAAATAGGTGAATACTTTAGTAACAATAAACCAAGGAAAGAGGAGTATATAAGTCATGAAAGAGGTTCAAATCTCTAAATCACAGTAAATTATAATAGAATAATTACAAAATATCTTCAACCAAACACGTGGGTCATATTGAGCATCAGGGTATGTACACGATTCCCTGTGTCATATTGGATTGCATCCACAAACCATTTAGACAGATGGTATGGGTATGTTCGACTGAGTCTGAGCTGATGGATTCTGAAATGTTTGCTGAATGTTTCACCATCACAGCTAGAGTCACAGCCCATCTCTTGAGGTTTGGTTTCTAAAGATATTGTTCCTCTTCTGATTACATATTTAAAATTAGAAGAGATAATGTTTCCAATACAAATTTGAACTGTATGTCTGTTTTCTTTTTCTGCTTCAAAGATCAAATTTGATTGATTTAGCAGAGAAGAATTGGATCCCAAAAGCAATTTTCTATCATAGCAAGAGGAAACAGGGATATAGTTTGCCTTTCTCTGAAAAAGCATAATTGGAATTAAAATAAAATATTCTGTGGTTTTATATGCCTAAAAAAAGACAAAGAAATAACTAAGAATGTCCAGAATCTAAAAATCTACATAATAGAAGAGTCATTCAAAATGAAATTTGAGGGAGTAAGGCAACATTAAAACACGCTCCCACAAGTGGCATTCCATATTTACTAATGTTATTAGCATCTCTGTGTGAAACCCCCTCACATTTAAAATACTAAGACATGATTTAGAAGCCTGGACATTAAAGAGATGGAAGTATAATTGTTTTCTTTGTATACTGAGGTTAACCACATGGATTTTATTTTAATTAATTAAAATACTATGAAAACCAAACATTTTAAATCTATCTAACTCAATTCCCTAATCTGCATCATAAAAGAATTAGTATGAATACGAATTCTAAAGTCATTTGTGAAGTCATTTATAACCTTTATGTGTTTCCTATTCTCCTGATTAAATTACATGTCTGAGTGATTCTTAATTATATTTTGCCAAATGATTTGAAAGCTTTCTATCTTATGTTCTGTTAGTAAACAAATGAAAGGGAAAAAATAGAGTATGTCCAATATAATTCACATAATGTAAAAGCTTTATCATTGCCACAGGATAGTGCAAATGGTTACTACTAATATAGTCAACTCCAGCAAGAGCTATCTTGGCAAATGGAAGGCTCACGAAAGATTTATTGTAGACATCTCCTTGAAATTTATGCTCCATACAGATTATCTTCTATTAACTGGTGAGCTTGAACCTTGAAAGGAGCTTCAAGTTTCAGATAAGTAACACACATCACTGAACATCACGTCTGCCACCTGGTAATGGATAATATAAATACAGCACATTTATTCAGTGGGGAAGGAAAACCGCTTCTATAGCCAATTCTCAATTATTCGGGGTAATGGGGGAAAACCTCTGAGCGGTTATATATAAATACAGATAATTGGCAGAATATGTAAATTAGGTCCCATCTCACAATGTTTATGAACATTTTGCCTGAAGAGTGATAAAAGCAAAAATGAAGAAATATTAAAACACTGTAATTATTATGAAGTATTTGACAGATTTACTCTTGCCTGGTTTTCCTCCTATCTTTCAAAATTTTCCTCCTCCATCTCTCTTCCTTGTTCACTCTCAAAAGGCATATAATCTTCTGGGTTCTCTACTCAGCTTTCTCCTTTTTTATATATTTACAAATTCTTTCTGGTTCATCTCACCCACCACCATGGCTATAGATAGCAAGATGCTTAATAGGTGCTGGTTGAGTAAACAAACTGCTAAGATACCCTCTCCCAAGTTGTTTCAATTCAATTAAATACTTATGTATAGTGGATGAGGTTAACACCACTATATGTCTGACAGTTATCTGCAGAGTTTTATTTGAATGCAGATACCTAAGCCATTCCTACACCTCAGAAATCAGAATCTGGAGGACAATTGGGACAGAAAACAGGAAATCCTCACTAAAAAGAAATAACTAACTAAACTAACCGAACACACACACACACACACACACACACACACACACACACACACGTAAACCACGAGAGAAGTTCAAGACACAACACACAATGTATAATTTCTATATAACTGGATAATTCTGTGAATTTTCCAAGTTGCATATCATTGTATTGTGTAACTGGAATTCCTTACTCAAAATGGCAGCTCCAGCTGTGATAGAACAAAGCTCCAGCCTTGTCCTTTCACTTGATGAGCTATTTAATCAATCACATAATCATGGCATGTATCTCAAGAGGGGTGAGTTCTTTGAACCACAGGAGTTGGCAGGGCCAGTTTGTGCATCGTAAGATCTGCATCAGTCAATGTTAACCAAACAAATATTTTTTTCATCAGAACTCCCTCTGAGGCAGGCACTATAACATCAGATTGACTTTTGTCCTAACTGCTTGGCTGACATCTTCTAAAAGGACTTTTGACATATGAAAATGACTAAGACAGTTTTTCACGAAGCAGCAGTCTCCTCATCTACGCATGGAATTAGTTTTGGTTTTTAATCCTTATCCCTTCTCCCAGTGATCTTTTAACAATCTTTCTTGAAAACTTCTTGTAATACTGCTTAGAATAAAGATCTGAATCTTCAACCTATTTTCATTAGGCCCTCCAAAGTCTGGCTGAGACATCCTCTTCTACAACACTCTCTGCACTCAATTCTCCAGCAATAACGGATTATATCCGCATTTCTCAAAATGATCACACTCTCCTGTCTAGGCTGAGTACCTCTGTTAAGATGGCATCCACTGCTCTTCTACCAACTCCCTCACTCTTCTTTCAAGCCTCTATTCACATGTTAGTTTCATCAACCTCCATATGGACAATTGCCAGAGCTTAACGATAGGTCTTCTCCTGATGACGTTGACTCTTGATGATAGCCAGAAGAAGATGCTGTTATGTGCCTGGGGTCTCAAAACTTCCAGCAATCTCCTGTTAGTCTCAGGATAAAACTACAAGCTGAGCTTGCTAGTCATGGTCCTTGGTGGTCTGCCTTCTGCCAGTCTTCTTCAGGTCATACTCATGACTTTTCATGTTACTGTGACATGAGGTTTCATTCGGCATTTCCAACAAGCCCTACTTCTTCCTCCCACGTGATGATGTATATACACACACTCTTCCCTCTGCCTGAACCATTCTTCTCTCTGATGTTACCTGCTGAAGTTCTCTTCCCCTTTGGATCTCTGCTCCATTGTGATTTCTGTAGTGATGCTTCTTTTTCTAGACTAGTGTCTAGAAAAAGTGTCTTCTTTTTCTAGACTAGTGTCTAGACCTTCTCATAGTGTCATTTATCACAGCTGAAATTTAATTATTTCATTTTCTCACCAATATATTCCATTGTTGAGCTCAGTGTCTGGCACATATTAGGTTCTGAATTTAGGGAAAATTTACTAGGATGGTAGTCTATTCTAGGTTTGACTGAATGTCTTTATTCTGTGCCTCTCAACACTTTGTCCTGCGATTCTCCTTTTCTTTATTTTTCCTTTAGGTAGGCAGTCTTGCTATGTTGCCCAGGTTAGTCTCAAATTCCTGAGCTTAGGTGATCCTCCTGCCTCAGCTTCCCAAATACCCGGGACTACAAGAGCACATTACTCTTCCTTCCACTTTCATTCTTTTAATCACTGGCTCACTGTCTGTCTTGAACCACTACATTGTAGCTTATCTGAGGGCAGAGGACATGTCTGCTATATTCCCAGCACCCTATATAATGCCTAGTACATGAGATATAATTAAAAAATTAAATGAGTTTCAAAAACTAGATATAAAGTTATCATTAATATAAAGATCATTATGTAAATCATTGAGTCAATACAGCTTTAGACAATCCATTTACTTTCTCCAGTTATTAACTCACCCACCCTAGACTTTTAAAGAATTTCCCCACTTAACCCTCCCACTAACTGTCCCAAATATCAGTGGGGGTCTGCAGAATACACGAGTTCTTTCCTGCAAAATATTCCTCCAAACCATCTAGTGTGAGGGTGGATATCCAGACAACCTCAGAGCTCAATGTTCATAATTAATCATGGATCTGCCAGGACATATTTAGTTATAATAATTTAGCTAACATTACTGAGTATCAGTGAAGGATCAGGTACTGAACTTACTTTCTGTTACATATTTTATTTAATCCTCTGCATAATCTAGCTGAGAAGTGATCATTTGCCCAAGGTTATAGAAAATAACTTTTAAAGCTGGGATTCAACCCAGGCAGATTAATGCCTTAGCCTGAGTGCCTAACCATTTTCTAAATTCTCTGCCCATGATCAAGTTTCCATTTGCTGCTCTTCTACAACCATTCTTTATGCATACCTTTAATTGAATTACTTGAATTACACCATCTCCTTCCAAGACATTGAAGAGAAAGCCCCATTCATGATAGAATCATTTGCAGAGTAACGTTTCAGTCAATGACAGACCACATATGTAATGGTGGTCCCATAAGATTATAATACCATATTTTTACTGTACCCTTCTATGTTTAGATATGCTTAGATATACAAATACCACTGTATTACAATTACCTACAGTTTTCAGCACGGTAACATGCACTTTAGGAACAATAGGATATACTACATAGCCTACGTGTGTAGTAGGCTATGTCACTAGGTTTCTGTAAGTACACTCTATGCTGTGCACACAATGACAAAATCACCCAAGGATATGTTTCTTAGAATCTATCTCCATCTTTAAGCTACGTATGACTATGCCTCTTCATTGTTTCCTTCATGCCTCTTATGTACATAGGGTTATTTTTTGATCCCATCAACCTTTTGGAAAAACGCAATTTTTGTTATTTTCAGTTGTTCCATTGTAAAATAAGCTGTTGGTTCACTCCCCGTTTCCTGTCACTCACCATTTCGGTACATGTCTACAGTATCCAACTGTAAGTCTCTGTAATTCTACACCACTGGGTTTCTTCTATGGCAGACCAGCAGTGTCTTCCTCCATAGCAGCCCAACAAATGGCTGGGATTTTGAGGACAAACAGCCCAGCTTCCTTATCTCTCAGTTGGATCAACTTTGAGGCATTTTCTGTCTAGACTGTCCCCTGGAGTTCTCCATTAAGAGTGAATCTCAATTCTCCCCCTCAATAACTGGTCACTACCCTCCATTGACCTCCTTTCTCTCCCTGTCTCACTTCCCTATCCCCTTACTGAGCTTACTGGGATCACCTTCCAAATCATCTATTTGCATGTAAATCCTTGTTTCTCAGTGCTTTTTGAGCTTGCATTCCTAGAGCTTCATTCTTCTGTTTTCCTCCATCTTCAGGAGCCTAAGTTGAACATGGCCTGGATGGAATTTATGATTTCTGTTCAGTAAGTTCCCATAGAGGGTCCTAGCTTTACCTGTACTTTTCTAACACAATATTTTCTAACCTTGCCTAATTTCTTCTCCTCTAGCTTCTATTTTTCATTTGCACCCACTATGCCATGCCATCAAAATGGCCAGGAGGCCTGTACCAGCTCCCTTCCATAGAAGTGGCTTTGTTGCTACTCTGACTTTTAAGTTAAATATCCTATTATCCAGCATCAGGGACCAGGTAACTGTTAGTCATGCTTTGAGTCCTTTGTGATTTCCAGAAAATTGGCCCAAGGGATATAATCTCTGTAAGTAAAGATTATATCCATGTTTTCCCAGCAACTCATCAGAGGATGAGATTTAATGCTATTTCAGACTCCCATTTCAAATTCGTGTGTCTAGCCTGTCATAAAAGGCACTTAAAAAGAATGTGGCTCTTAGGAGCTGATCTCAACTAAAAAAAAAAAAGTTTTGGCCGGGTGCAGTGGCTCATGCCTGTAATCCCAGCACTTTAGGAGGCGGATCACCTGACGTCAGGAGTTCAAAACCAGCCTGGCCAAAATGGCGAAACTCTATCTCTAACTAAAAATACAAAAATCAGCCAGGCGTTGTGGCAGGCTCTGTAATCCCAGCTACTCGAGAGGCTGAGGAAGGAGAATTGCTTGAACCCAGGAGGCAGGGGTGCAGTGAGCTAAGATCATGCCACTGCACTCCAGCCTGGGCAACAGAGTGAGACTCTGTCTCAAAAAAAAAAAAAGTTTTTTATATAGTTTCCAAATCTTTAATTTATTTTATATAGATATATATATACACACACACACATATATAGTATGTTTATATTATATGTGTGTATTATATCAATGTTTCATATTGAATCTTTGTTCTTTTATCAATTAGATTTCCCATGTTCTTTTCCTGGAATTCCTGTTGGGCAAATGTAATCTTTTCAATAAAAGATAAACATTTCACAATTTCTTGTAATAATTCATTGTAATAATACCACTCTCATTTTCATATTCTCCAAGCCACTTAAAAAGTACTAGTTTATTAACCAAGCAATTTATCAATATTTATTCATAATGCCAATGGCAGACTTCTTGTCATAAATAATTATTGAGGTAATAGTTTTATTATTAAAAACTGATGACAAGTGCAGAGTGATTGCCCTAATAAAGACTGATGACAGAACTTCGTATCTGATGCGACACTCAGAACACTGTGCAGATTGAATCTAAGGCCTCCTGCATGGATAATAAATTGTTATTTTAGAGAATAAAATGATTGATACATTTGCTTGCTGTGGAAAAAGCAATGGGGAGAAGATTCTACTCCCTAACTTATTTAAACAGGCTATGGTGAAATTTTCTTTCCTTGTGACAGATTTAACTTTCCAATAAAATGACAGCTCTTTGGCAGAGATAGGAGCAGAGAAGCCTTCTTTTTTAGAAGCTCCTAAAAGTCAAGTTCATTTTGGAATACATCTGGATGTTCTCTAGCCTCCTTGGCTCCCTCAGCAGGTGGGCGTCTGGGCCAGAGGTAGGAACATGGTGGAAAGTCATGCCATGTGATAGCATGGCCAGCTCAGCAAGGAGATAAATGAGTTCTGTCAGATTACATTGGAGAAACTGCGGCTGACTTTTGCATCACCTGGCTCGGTGCACAAGTTTATTGTATTTTTTTTTCCTATTGGTTTGATCTTACCGTTTATGACAAACTAACCCTGGAAGCCATCCATCTTTTGACAACCTGGGAAATGACTGTATTGGGATGAGGTAGGGAGGAGGAAGAGAGAGAGATTGAGACAGAATTGAAATTGTATGTCCTATGTATTTTTAAATGTTTTATTCATAACTGCTATTACTAAAAATTAAAATGAAATGACAAATATGGAAATCTCCTCAAAGAAAATACCTAAGATTTAAAATGTATTCTCTTTACATAGCTTAATCTATTTATATTTATGCAACAAAAGGCAAGGAAAAGAATGACAAATATATAATTTAAAATGTCACCCAATAATGGCAGGTGTGAACTAAAGTCAAAGAATTATTATATTTTCCAATTTTTATTTTAAGTGAGCAATTGAAACATCAAATATGACATATATTCGATGGTTTTGGATCAATTCTAAATGAACTGCTTATTTGTGAAACACAAGTATCCACCTTTGAGGTCTGAATGTATTAGATGGCTTCATTCTTCTCTGTATATGTCTAACAGTGTGAAACTAAAGCAATCTTTGAAAATTATTCTTGTGAAAATAATTTCTTTTCAGTTTTTTATTGTTAAAATTTTCTTAGAATATATAAAAGCATGTGTTATATTTTCTCTATATTATTGAATGATGATTTTTATATTTAATAACTTTGTTTTCTAGAATATGGCCTTGATAAGAAAAATAGCAAAACTTCCTAACTCAATTATTTTAGTCTGTGGTTAAAATTATGTCGAGTCTATTTGTGAAATGCTATAGATTTCCATTCCTCTTTTTTATCTCAAAGCTTGATGTTTTCTTACAAATATTCATTTTAAAAGTACTTTTTAGCATTTCAATAGTGATAAAGACATTTGTATTAGTTTGAAAAAAAGACAATGCTGCTGCAATGTGATGCTTTGTAATTGGCAAATCTTGCCTTTATAGCATAAAGCAGGAATTATGGGCTCGCAAGGAGAGATTTTTGTTTCTTCTGTGGTATATGTTTAATTCTCTAGGATAGAAAATACATGATGTTCGAATTCTGACACTTATTAAATTAGATTCAATTACCATGTATAGCAACACCACAGGATGTATTATGCTTTTCAGGGTGGACCCAGGACTTAAAATGTATTCACTGTATCCAAGAAATGTATGATTACCTAAAGACACCAAGGATAAACAGTTATTTCAGTCAACTAGTTAAAGCAATGGATTGCAAACATCTATGCATGTTTCACAGAAAGGTGAGGATGACTGTTAGCTCAATTAAGCAGAGCTTTCTCCCTTTATTCAGGGAACAGTCCTTGACACCATCTAAGTGCCAAGCACTATGCTAGGCACGGGTGACATATAAATTCATAACTTCCCATTGGTTCAGTAAGCATTTATGCACAGCCTATTTGCCAGAGCCTAAGCTAGATGTTGAGAATATAAAAGTGGGTCAGAGTTTTGCTCTTAAGGAACTCAGACGTGAAAATAAATAGAATGCAAAGAAGTGTTAAAGTTATTGTGACAGAGGTTTGAATAAGATATAAAGCTAACAAATGTAAGATCTCAGTAATTATATCTGAAAGAGAAGGGGTTTCATGGAAAAGATATGATGAAGCCATCTTCAAAGATGATTTGATTTTCAATAATAAATGAAAGGGAGGGGGCATATCTGCCCTGAGTAGCTTGATTGCAAATAAAAACAACAAAAACAATGACAATAAAAATAACAGAAACGCCAGTTTTATTTAAGTGAAAAAAAAAAGGTATTGTAAAGAGATTACATAAACCACAGAACTGACAATAAAACTTGAGAGCCACAATAATGCCTGGCTTATTCAATTAAAAAGCTTCAGTATTGTACTGTTCCTCTTCAGACAGTGAGTACTTTAGAACAGTAAAGGAAGTGTTAGTGTCACCACTGAAACTGATGATGAGCAAACTGTGATTCAGTGAGATAGAGAGACTTCCTCAAATTTCTGTGCTGTCTTAATCAGTATGCATGTTCTTTACCCTATACTATATTGCCTACAAATGAAGTCCTTCCTCCCCACCTTTGAAGTTTGCTGTCTTGGCCCAAGAAACAGACCCATGAAGTGTCACTCTAGAGACCATGTGGAGAGACTCTAGAGACTCTATTGGAGAGAGTGCAGGGTAGGGAGGTAGCTTAGAGCAGGAATTTGGGCCAACTAGGAAAGCTTCTCGGAAACTCAGTCTCTTAACTACAGTGGGCATTTATCCTCACCAACTCATCTTTTGGTACGTGGTATTTAAACATTTTTTTAACTTTTTTAAAATTTGTGTTCTCTCTTTCTCTTCCTCCCTCCCTGCCTCTGTCCCTCCCTCCCTCCTTCCCTCCCGTCCTTCCTTCCTTCCTTCCTGGCAAACACAACTAACTTCTAGTATAGAAGCCAAAAATGCCCAAACATTTGCTTTTTACCGTGATTCTTAGTAGCCAGAAAATAAGCATGAAACCTACGTTTAAGAGATTAAGCGTTTCTGCCCAAGACTTTGAGTCTGAAAGGGGTGACCCAAAAGAGCAGGGAGCTGAATTGTTCTGGAAAGGACAGAAGCAACCTCACTGTCTAGGGTAGCAGGGTCTGTGCTACCATGGTGGCACTAGAGGGGGTGGCAATTAGTCCTTTCCCAAAGCATGGCTTTGGCTGTTATCTGATCATCAAGCCTTCTCTGACTATTATCCACTTCCCAAGACTGACTCTCTGGCCATCTAGATTGTGTGGTCTATCCCATATCTGCCTAATACATTTCCCTTACTCTTGAGTTAATCAGAAACAACCATTACCAAGAAAAACCCTGACAAGAAAAGTAGATTTTTGCAATATAAAAATGTCTCCCTAATTTTTCTACTTCATAAACAGCTCATTTGTCCTCTGTGGTGAAAATACTGTTCAAGAAACTTGTGCTTGCAACAAATCCCAACTGCATGGTGTCTTCAAAATTATAACAAAGTTTGTTATTATAGCAAAGGTGAAAAAAATTCTTATTGTTTGTTTGCTTTCTGCTGGTTCATTCCATTTCTTTGGGCTGTTTTCCCCGCTGTTGGTACTATGAAAACGCATAAGGAATATGAACACATATTTGATGTTTATGAGGCTGTTGGCAGAGGATACAAAATCCAATTTCTAGCCAAGGCTTATTCCAAGGCCGTAATCACTCATTTGTTATCATCTTCCTTTTAAAAGCTTTAAGCTTATCTGTACAGAGTTGTGTGGTACAGAATAACAGACTACATTCAAATACTGTAAGATTTTTGATGACTTGCTTTTAGAAATAATTATTGGTCAATTTTTTGTAGTCCTTACAGCACTATGATCTCGGCAAGAGGAAAAAAAGTTAAGCACTTAAATTTTCTTCACCTTTTCAGTAAAATTAATGAAACTTCTTCTGAAGACATCACTTGTATGTGGTACTTTTCTTTTCTATGCAGATTCATCCCGTAAGTTTCTTTCAATATTCAAGTCTGGGGAAATTATTTTCTTCTTAATGGATTTGTCACTTTTATTTTTTTTTTTCCTTAACAAACAAGACTAACATAATTCGGTTTCTCTCCTTTCACTGACTTCCAGGAAGATGATAATAAAGTGAGCTCTAACCTTTGCTCTTTAGTTAGTCAGAGTTATTTACAATGACAAAAAAAAAGAAGCAATGTAAATGTCTAGAGTAATGTCAAAACCTTATTAATGGTATATATTTAAAGAAAATAAAATCAGCTTGTCAAGGAGATATCTTCACCCCCATGTTTATTTCAGCTGTATTTATAATAGTCAAGATATGGAATCAACAGAAGTCTCCATCACCCAATAGGTGACTCAAAAAATGTGGCATATATTCACAATCAATACTATTCAGCCATTAAAAAAGATGAAATCTTGTCAGAACAATGTGGATGATTCTGGAGAACATTATGTTATGTAAAATAAGTCAGACACAAAGAGACAAATACTATATAACCTCACTCATATGTGGAATCTCAAATAGTTGACTTCATAAAAGTAGAGAGTTGAATGGTAATTACCAGAGGTTGGGAAAAGTAGAGGGTAGGAATGATGGGAAAAGGTTGGTCAACAGACATAAAGTTATCATTATTCTGTTGCATAATTGAATAACTATAACAATTATTGGGGGAACCAGCCCCCAATATTTCAACTTAGGTTCTTTTCTATTTTCCCTAAGTGTCGGCCGGTCTGAGAAATAAAGAGAAAGAGTACAAAAGAGAGAAATTTTATGGCTGGGACTCCAGGGGTGACATCACCTATTGGTAGGTTCCGTGATGCCCACCTGAGCTGCAAAACCAGCAAGTTTTTATTAGGGATTTCAAAAGGCGAGAGGGGTATGAATAGGGAGTGGGTCACAGAGATCACATGCTTCCTAGGGCAATAAAAGATCACCAGGCAAATGGCAGAACAAGATCACAAGGCCAGGGCAAAATTAGAACTACTGATGAGGTTCCATGTCCCGCTGGGCACGCATTGTCATCGATAAACATCTTAACAGGAAACTGGGTTCCAGAGCAGACAAAGGGTTTGACTAGAATTTGCCAGGCTGGAATTTCCTAATCCTAGCAAGCCTGAGCGTGTTGCAGGAGACCAGGGCATACTTCATCCCTTATCTTCAACCGCATAAGACAGACACTCCCAGAGCGGCCATTTTAGAGACCTCCCCCTGGGAATGCTTTCCTTTCCCAGGGCTATTCCTTGCTGAGAAAAGAATTCAGTGATATTTCTCCTGTTTGCTTTCTGCAAGAAGAGAAATATGACTTTGTTCTGCCTGGCCCCGCAGGCAGTCAGACCTTATGGTTATCTCCCTTGTTCCCTGAAAATCGCTGTTATTCTGTTCCTTTTCAAGGTGCCCAGATTTCATATTGTTCAAACACACATGCTTTACAAACAATTTCTGCAGATAACGCAATCATCACAGGGTCTTGAGGCAACACATATCCTCAGCTTATGAAGATGATGGGATTAAAGTAAAGACAGGCATAGGAAATTATAAGAGTGTTGATTGGGGAACTGACAAATGTCCATGAAATCTTCACAATTTATGTTCAGAGACTGCAGTAAAGACAGGCTTAAGAAATTATAAAAGTATTAATTTGGGGAACTAATAAGTGTCCAAGAAATCTTCACAATTTATGTTATTCTGCCATGGCTTCAGCCGGTCCCTCCATTTGGGGGCCCTGACTTCCTGCAACAAACAATAAACATGTATACCTCAAAATATCTAGAAGAAAGGATTTTGAATATTCTCATCACAAATAAATGATATATATTTGAGTTGATGAATTCGCTATTTATCTTGATTTGATCATTATACAGTGTACACATGTATCAAAACATCACACTGCACCCCCATAAATATGCACAATTATGTATCATTACAATAAAACTTAAAAATATATTAATATATACATAAGTAAATAAAGTCTAGTTGCTAATGACATATTTATGTATGGAAAATTTGTTTCCCTTAAAATATGTTGTCAGTATACCCCTAAGCAGTTTAAACCCATTCAGAATGTGTTTTTACTGTTATTTCAAATGCTTCAAAAACAATATCCACATGCAGGTATTTTATGGTGGTGTAGCTCTGATTTTCTACCTAAGAGCATCTAAACTCTATAGTCAGAAAAAGTGTTTCATTTATTCAATCTCTATTCTCATGGCCAAGGTCATGGACTCAATAAATACTTATTGACCAAATGAAAAAAACAGACACAGTGTACATGGCAGAAACGATAACAATTATTGCAATTATGGCACCATACCACAAGAAACTATGTAGCCATAAAAGAAATATATGATTTAGCCCTGCAGTGACTTTCAAAGTAATTCACAATATATTCTTAAACTATTTTTTAACCAAGATACAGAACAGTGTGCATATTGCAATGTTATCATTGTTATTCACATAGATTATGTAATACAGATTCCTTCTGTCTATCTAAAAGGAAGAAGCTGAGGCCAAATTAATATAAGCAGAGAGTTTATTTGAGCAAAGTTTGAGTATTGCAACCTGAGATCATAGATTGAAGTTGCTCTGAATATACACTCAGATTAGCAGCAGTTACGAGTGGATTTTTAAAGGAAAAAAAAAGGCAGGGGGAGGGAATGTGCTGATACAAAATTTCTTGCCAGGAAATCTCGTTGGTTTACAGAAATAACACTGGTTAGCAATTGGCTATACATTGTTAAGCTATTGGGTATGGGGTATAGTGTCCAGTGTGGCATTATCATGTTAATTTATAGCTACTTGTGGCAATAGCAAGCAGTTTCAAGAGATGAATACATAGCTCTAAGTGGGCAGTAGGGTGTGATTGCAGTCTCATTTTAATGTCTCTCTATGTCTGATAATTAAAAGGACTTTCATTCTTCAGGAAAAATTTTTTTCTTTGATTACTTCATTAGTATTTGGAAAATGTGGGATATAACTTATATGTTCTTAGCTAACCTAGAATACAGATCACAGGATCAACTTTCCAATTGTGATAAAAATCTAATAGAGCCCTAGCCAAGTCTCCAAAGTACTCTTCTTTTTTCTATTTTTTTTTTCTTTTTTCTTTTTGTTTGAGACAGAGTCTTGCTCTGTCGCCCAGGCTGGAGTACAGTGGCATGATCTCAGCTCACTGCAACCTCTGCCTCCTGGGTTCAAGTGATTCTCCTGCCTCAGCCTCCCTAGTTATCTGGGACTACAGGTGGGCACCACCACGCCTGGCTAACTTTTGTATTTTTAGTAGAGATGGGGTTTCACCATGCTGGCCAGGCTGGTCTCGAACTACTGACCTCAGGTGATCTGCCCGCCTTGGCCTCCCAAAGTGCTGGCATGAGCCACTGCACCCAGCCTGTCTCCAAACTACTCTTGTGATTTCATAAGAATACCTGTGAAATTCTTGTGCTCTTGTCTGTGCAGTGGAAAACAACCCATTGTTAACATTTATCTCCATGTGCAGGCAGTGATACAAGCATCCTGAATGCTAGCATGTGTTTTTATGAGTCAAAGAGTGTTTGTCTTTTTTACTTTCCATTTCCATGGGACTCAAGGCCACTGTTATGATCACAATAGGTTTTAAACTTTGAAACCTTATGAACATCCAGGAAAGGAGAGTTAGGCCCTACACTTAGGAGCAGCTTTTATGGGTTGAAATCAACAGAAAAAAAGCAGAGAAAAACCTGGAAAGAAGCAGAAACTGTCTACTCCACTAGTGTGGAGTAGAATGACTGGCCCAGGCATCCCAGGTTCCAAAACAAAGGCAGAACCTCTTCCATCAATTTATAGTTATTCAGGAAAAGACAATAACTCAGTATGTTACTCTCAGTCAAGGTAGTCCCATGTCTTGGCAGGTGCCCCCTTTATATACAAGTATGACTTTTATCAGAGACTAATTTTTTCATCATGAACACATATAGCACCATGACCCCCCCCCCCACCCACCAAAAAAAAAACTAAAACAAAAACAAAAAAACAGGAGAATATAGACTCACACAACCACCACTAAGGGGATAAGTTTTCAGCAGAAAGCATGCTTTCCCTGTCTCCTACTTCTGCACTCAGACTAACACAGCCCCTTCATGGCTCTTTTTCATTGCCAACACCAGCTCACTAATCTCATTTTTATCTCCCAGAACCAGCTACATAACTTGCAAGACCCAGTGCAAAATAAAATGGCAGAACGTCTTGTTTAGAAATTATTAAGAATTTCAAGAGCAGCACATGAAAGCAAGTATGAGACCAGAACCCTGTGTGACTGCACAAGTCACATGCCCACATAGCCCTACCTGTTCTCTGCACTTATGGTGACCATTTCAGGAGCCTTTTGGCCTTTACCTGCTATCTTGTTTGAGACTTTATTGGTCTTCCTTGACCTATGTTCTTACTTGGGAGAGGGATAGAGGTTTACTGTCTACAATCCCTCCCGGCTCCCACTCCGTAAAAGTAAAGAAAAACAAAATCAGAAAACAAAAACCTACACTTCTTACGCAAATTGTTCTCTCTTCTCAGATTTCAACAAAGGAGGAGTGCTGGACTTTAATAAGCCAAATGAAGATTTTCTTCATATATTTTCTCTAAGGGGTCACCTGCCTGGCATAAATCAGTGTGAGTAAGTGGAACCCTCAAGATTTGCTCCAGGATGAATTTTTAAGTCTACCTCTTCAGGGAAAGGCTGGGGATCCTTTTGGTTAGAAGGTCAAAGAAATAGTGTCTATAAATCTATCTTTTTAACTCATATAGAAGAACCTGCTATCATTTAGATTAAGTTTTATCTCTATATGTATTTATTTGCATGGGAAATGTCTGAAAGGAAATGAAATAGCTACAACTATCTCTGGGTAGGTGAGATTTGGGAACTATTATTATTATTATTATTATTATTATTATTATTATTACTATCAGTTTATCATCATTTTAATTTTTCTATAGTACTCATGCTTCTTATAGGTACATAGAAAAAGTAACTTCTAACATTATAAATAAGAAAGATAAATGTTATAATTTCAAAAAGAAATTTTAGGAATGAACATAAGAAATTTCTATGTAATCTTAGAATAGTTAAAGGCCTAATTTTATAATGATGACAATTTTGCCCAATATTGAAATGGAAATTATTCAGTTGTAAGAAATATGGCTTCTTGGTTTATAACTGCCCATGTAACTTAATACATGTGAAACAGTAGTTATTAGCTGGGTAGAAATTGTTCTAGGTGTCTCAAACAATGGGGACTGTTATTTTGTGGTTTATGGGTGGTCTAACTTCTGTTTTTCATCAACCCAAAGTTATATCAAGTTGTCTTTCCAAGACTGTATCTTTCCAAGACTTCTCTCAGCTAACCATTACTGTTGGTCATAAGTTATATAATAACAAACCTAGAAAAAGATGATAAGCAGACTCACCAACATAGTGAGACCTTCTCTTTACAAAAAGTAAAGAAAATTAGTCAGGCATGGTGGCTCATGCCTGTAGCCCTAATTACTCAAGAGGCTGAGGCAGGAGGATGGCTTGAGCTCAGGAGTTCTAGGCTGCAGTGAGCTATGATTGCACCACTGCACTCCAGCTTGGGCAACAGAGTGAGAACCTGTCTCAAAAAATACAAATAAAAGATTAATGGTTGTTAATATCACAAAAAAAAAAATGGAAACAAGCAAACATTATGTTCCTTCTAATGGAAGTACACAGCAGTATTATATTTATAATGTAGTTTTGTCTGTTTACCTACCTAGCTGTCTATATCTGTCATCATTCTTCTGGCTTTAATTCCCACCTTTGTTAACAACATAGAAAGAAAATTGGCAAAAATTTCAAAGCTAAAACCAAATGTGCTTGTGTGGTGGTAGGGGTTGGGGGAGCTTAGATAAAATGATACTTAACATTTAAGAAACCACAGGCTAAAAAAGTAAATCATGCCCTTTATTTGGTCCTTAATTCAAACAATAGAGAAAGAGAAAACACACACGTACCTCTTTGCAAGATAAATAGAAAATATTTGACACTGACTAGATGTTTGATGACATTAAGAAAACACTTTTTGTTTTACGTATGATAATGGTACTCTAGTTATGCTTTTAAAAAGACTGATTGTCATGGGATCCTTTGGCTGTCCCTCTTCCAGCTGGAAACCTCTGTGGCCAGTGGTGCTTTTGCCCAAGTTTTTACTCAGGCCTGCTCGGCTCATTCCGCCCACTCAGCTTGTTCCACCCACTCAGCCTAGCCCACTGCACTTGGCTTGCACTACTGGCCTAGATCCCACACCTGCCAAGGGCAAGCCAAGGGTGGAGCACAGTGAGCATGTCCAGTCACTGCACATAGCCAGGTATGCCAGCTGCTGTCACAGGGCAGACAGCTCCAGGAGCCAGCACAGGCACCGGCTCCATGAAAGGCTGTAGCTGGATCAGATGTACCACAAGCAGCTTCTGCTGCAGGCACCCACATCTGGACGAGGGGAATGCAGTGGCACCCAGAAGCTTGGAGAAGCCTGGAACTGCAGAGCCCCAAAGAAGGTGTCACGGCCCTGTCTTAGGGAGCCCCTAGGACTGAGCTTCCCAAAGGCTGCCGCTTTTCTCTCCTTCTCATCTCTCACAATGTGGTAAGTGGTGTAGGCAGAGGGGAAAGACAATGGTATTTCAGCCCTGTGTGTTGCTGCTCTTTCAGTCCTGCCATTCGGTGGGTCCCAAATTCTTGTCCCACACCCAGGAAGAATGAGGCATATGAACAACTAGAGGATGAACAAGGTGGAGAGATTTATTGAGTGACAGAACAGTTCTCGGGAGACCCAAAGTGGGTAGTTCTTTCCAAAGGCAGGTCGTCCTAATGAGTGTCCAGCTCTCAGTGGAGAAGAGACTCACAGTGGGTAGCTCCCTTCTGCGGGTGGGCCTGGAAAAAGCACCATAAGTTCTCACTCAGGGTGGTGGATTCCACCAAGAACTGAGAGTCCAGTCCCCAGGTTTCAGGCCCTCTTTGGCTTGAAGATGGGGCTTCACCTGTGAGACCCACCCCTTCCCACCCAGGAGCCTGTCTGCCTTCTGCTGCCATTGACATGCTGTCCATGGCACCCAGCCTGTTCATGAGGAGGGGTACCTGCAGGCCTGTGCCGAGCCACCCTCAGACCCTCCTCAGTCTCCCTCCAGTGCTTGTTGGCACCCAATATCTGGAGGGGCAGAGGCAGCAGCAGTCTGGCGTGTCAGTGCTATCCAGAGCACACACACACCTGGCCAGGTTGCAACAGCACCCAGGCTCACTACAACTCTGCTCAACCAGAGCAGGTGCTGGGAGCAGACAGAGGCCAGAGAACAGGAGCAGGCATTTCCGAGCTTAACAGGGGTGGAGGGATTTCCCTGGCCCATGAAAGTGCAGGGATACCCAGGCCTGGAGCTGTGGCTGGATGACTGCAGCTGCGCCTGGGAGCATGGGGCTCCTGCCCACCTACTTGGTAGGGGGTGGAGCTCCTGCCTGTTCCCAGCCCCTGCTGGCTCCACAGAGCGCTCAGCCCTGGCCTCACCTCCCCTACTTCAGCTGGCATCTTTGCAGCAGCTGCTCAAGACTGGCATCACCACCATCATCATTGTTGGCCAGGTACGGTGGCTGATGCCTGTGATCCCAGCACATTGGGAGGCCAAGGCGAGTGGATCACTTGAGGTCAGGAGTTTGAGACCAGCCTGGGCCACATGGTGAAACCATGTCTCTACAAAAAGTACAAAAATTAGCCCGGCGTGGTGGTGCACGGCTGTAGTCCCAGCTAGTCGGGAGATTGAGATGGGAGAATCACCTCTGCTCAGAAGGCCAAGGATGCAGAGAGCTGTGATTGTGCCATTCTACCCCAGCCTGGGCTACAGAGGGTGACTCCGTCTCAAAAACAGAAAAAAAAGAAGAAAAAAGACTCGTCGTTCAGAAATACTAAAATATTTAAGAAGGAAAGTGTATGATATCTGGAATTGGCTTCAAAATAATTCAGTGGTGAGAGGAGTTGGTAGTGTAAATAAACATAATTGGCAAAGAGTTGAGAAGCTATTGAAGTTGGATAGTAGTGAATGGGAGTTCATTATACTGTTGTTTTCATTCTTGAATGTGGTTGAGATTCTTCAAAATAAAACATATGTAAATCAATACACATACATATGTATGTGTGTAAACGTGTATACACATGTGTCTGTGTATATCTATATCTGCATATACATCTACCTATCTATATCATCTTTCATCATCTTTGGGGTCATAAACAATGACTTATTGAGCATTTTCTCTGTGCTGCATCCTAAAAGAAGTGTTTTACTATGATTATTTTATTTAATCCAACCAACACTCCTACAAGGTTAATGTTAGCTTATGTCTATTTGTTTGGTAGATAAGATTTACACAGATAAAGTAACTTCTAGTTGCACAGCTAGTACAAGAAAGACTCACCTCCACCAGAGAATTTATTAGTAATACTCTTGACTTTTCAGAAGGTCTTATAAAGCCTAAGTAAAGAGCTCCTGCCTTTTTGCTTGGGACTGAATATTAGCTCTGTCACTTATATCATTGGCCTTGGGCAACTCTGCAAACTCTGTGAATCCTTCATTTATCATGGGTATAAAACTACCTGCCTCATATGTTCCATGATAATGTTTAAAATAAAATGAAGTAGTGCATGTAAATTGTTTTCTACATATTAAACTCCAGAAAGGGTGGGGGTATTGCTTTCCTGTTTTTTGTGGTTTTTTTTCTATTTTTTTTCTTTTTACTTGAGGTGTGTGCATGTATGTGTGTGTTTCTTTTTGTTCTGGTTGAAAAATCAAGGCCTTTCAGGGACTGCTTTTCCTATGTTCTTCTAAAGGCAAGAAGTTGAAACTATCGTCTAGACAATGAGGTAAAATCTTGTTGACAGACAGAATTTCTGCTGACCTGTTGTTACCCTGACACCTAAGGGTGAGAGAGCACTTGAGAACAGCAATCAGTGGCCCATTTCCTCACTCTTCAGTGGACTGGAGATACTAATTGCCTGATAGTCCCTCCCACTCTGCCTGGATTCCCTCTCCAAAGGCTCTTTTCATTATACCTGTTGTTTATGGCCAAACCCATGAGTCACATTTAGAAATCAAACATGAGGAACTTGACCCCCTCTGATATTCTGAAGCTTTGTTGAGCTGTTAAACAATGAGTGAGAGAAATTATTATTGTTAAAAATAAAAAATTCAGTGGCATGAAATTTCAAGACAGCATTTTCATTTGAAGCCATGAATAATGTAGTTATGGTAATATAGCTGCTATTCATAATTACAAACACTTCATTCCTCCACATGTTCTCATGTCACACAGAGCAGGCTGGTGAGAGCTGGTCTGCTTCTGATTGTTTTTGCTGTGTTTTGCATTATAAATTATATTCTACTCAACCCTGATGACCCCAACTCTATGGCAGCCATTGGCACCATAAAAGTCAATAGCAGCATGTCTCCGAACCTCCCCTGCAGAACTAAATGTTTATCTTAAGTTAGAGCTTGGAGTTTAATCCCATTCAAGAGTTAGATTTAGTTCACAATGCATCACTCTATTTACCATTTTAGCAACAAAATGAGGTTAACCACGAAATTATGCCTTAGAATCCTTCCTTAGCATGAGCACTTCCAAGGCCCTGAGAGAGATCCTAGCTATTTAGTAGTCACCTTTTGTGTTGATTTCTTTTTAACATTATAGTAAAAATCATTGATCTTGACGCTAGTCACATTTTGCTACAAATCCAGATCTGCCACTTAGTAAAACTTGATATAGTATTATTTATACTTTATATTTTTTGAGAATTAAATGCCATAACTCTTTAATATCTTAGTACATGCCTATCACTAAATATCCAATAAGTAATAGTGTTTATAAAAGACCTAGTAAGATTTATGATTAAAAATAATAGCTATTTCGCAACAACTCTCGGTTCAATTTTAACCTTTTCAAATCTTGAAGTGAAAAACCTTTACGTTTAAATATCTTTACACTTAAAATTTATTGTAAAGTTAGTGTGTTCATTTGATATAATTATATATTTTTTGTCCTTGAAAATTGTCTAAATTGATCGGATATCTTTAAACATAATTCTGTATTTGAATCTCCAGTCTCTCATGAGAATACAGTCTCTACTCACGAGAGTTATAGATTAATTTAATTTCAAGTAGTTAACTGACATGCATACATTCACGCAATCAGTAGGCCACTGAGTTTGGACAGGTTATTCAAATAAATCAGTTGGTCTGGCACTCGTGCCAAGAATTTTTGCACTTTTTGGACAAATACAAATGTGAAACGTAAACAGGTAAAAGGGAAACTGACATGGATGGAGTTTTTCAGAAAGAAAGAAAAAAAAACTTTAAAAAAGGAAGATAAAGAAATAAAAGAAAGGAAGAGTGAAAGGCAGGAGAGAAGGAAAAAGATAAAAATAAATAGCATTATAAATGCCACTAAGTAACCCATGATAACAAGCTAATGTCAAATTGCAGAAAGTACATTATATTTAGAAATATAATTTACAAATACATTTTGTTTGGTAACAACTCAGTACCTTACTTATTTGCCTCTTTTTTTTTTTTTTTTTGGCCTGTTATTGTCACAGTGCAAGTATTCAAATAAATACAAACATCATCGCATCATCACAAACCCTGCTCCATTTCTATTTGATCATTTCAGCAAAATAGTAGGATAATTTTGAATTTGACCTTAAATTCTATAATTATCTGCCTAGGCCTAGAAAACATTAGGCTAAAATTTTCCGATTTTCAACCTTTCTTTTTTCCCCTCTTTCTCTCCCTCCCATCTTTCCAACTTACCTCCCTCTTCCTGCTCCATATAAAGTCTTTTGTGCTCGAGTATATAAATTGTTAAAACGGAAGTACTGAGTCTTTCTAAGGTTAAAGATGAATGACGAAGTAGGATTCTATTCAACCACATTCAGAAACATTACTATAACTCATGGTTGTTGATTGTCTACTGAGTAAAAGACATTATGTTTGGTTTTCTAAGTGAATTAATATTTAAAGAGTTTGAGATACAATGTAGTAAGCCAAGGGTAGAGAATATGTAAACAGTACCAGTCCCAGTGCAAAATTATACATTTACTAAGATTCAGTCAAATCTTAACTTGCTACATGCTCACCAGCTGTGTCACTTGGAGCAAGTTTCTTAACCTCTTGGAGTTCAGTTTGCTTAAATTTAAAATGGATGCTAATGATGCTTATCAGCTTTGCTTTGCTGTGAAAATTAAGTGAGAAAAAAAGGGTTTACTGCTAAATAAGTGTTAATTCTCTAACCCCTGCTAACCATCCACCCTCAGCCTTTTCTTTCTTGAATTTCTTTCCTGAGTCTTAAATTTAAACTTTTTCTCACTTTTTCTAAACTCACTATCAGATTCCTCCCTATACTCTAAATTATAGGTGCGTAAGGAGGACTTTAAGTGTTACCTCAGGAGGCAAGACTACATTTCAAACACTCTTAATCTTATTTATGAATAAATAATAGTGTATTTTCTCCTAAATGTTTATTTCTGTATTTCTCAAAAAATGTCTCCACACAAATCATAAGAGTATTATGTGGGAACTTGTTTCTTTTGGGGCTCAGAAACTGATAACCCAAAGCTTGGCATTTTGCTGTGCTGAGTACCTGTAATTAAAGGAAATTAAAAGGCCTCAGAAGTAGCTTCAGAGGCAAATCTTCTCTTTGACCTTCTCCTACTTCTGTCTTCATCCACTCTTTCTCCCCTGAAGTGGGTCATAGATACTAGTAATAAAGAAATTCTCTGACCTACCTTGTCTGCAAGCCACAGAAACTACAGTTCTTCTTCCTCAAGGTAAATCTTAGAAACTAGAACTCCTCTCCACCAGCATCAACCATAAAACCTAGAAAGGTCACTCTCTCCCTTCTTCCTTGAAGACCTTTGTCAGATACAAAAGAAGTTCCTCTTCAAAGATTTAGCTTGTTCAGTGTCCTTGTTCTTTGTTCCCTACTTCCAAAGCCAAACTAACTTCCTTATCCTTTGTGCCTCCCTGTTTTAGTTTCAGTAAACAACTTTCCTGCCAGTCCTTATCTACAGAGCCCACATCTGCTACCCACTCTGTAAATTACCCCTCTCATCACAATGGCTTTTCCTGCCAAAACTGCCCTTCCTGCCAGTATGACCACACTCCTGTACCATTCAAGTTAGCCAATCAGGTTCAGCTTAGATTGTGCGGTCCAACTCCAGCCAGTGGAGGCAGGACACAGTAACAGGGACAAGCTACATTAGGCATTAAAAACCCCTTTCCTCCTTTGTTTGGTGTGCTCTCGTGGTGACCAGACCTGTGAGAAGCACCCTTCTGCAGAAGTAAATTTGCCTTGCTGAGAAATCCTTTGTTTAAGTGCTCATTTTCTTTACGACACCAAGCATTTGTTTCTAACACCTTCATTCTAGAAGTGCCCTGCCCGATACCTTAGAGGAGGGCATGTTACACAGAGAAGCTGAGAAGAATCTGAACAGGCCTTGTTGGATTTCCCCCTCAGTCTATTACCATTATATTGTCCCAATCACATTTCTTCATGGGTGTCCACCGTTCATTGAATCTAAGCATAAACATGAATAGTTTCTCTGGGACTTTGAGTTTTCATTTCAGAAGGCTCCTGAGTCATTTAAAATTCTATGGATTTTTTGTTGGTTATTTACTTATTTATTTATTCATATAGAGATGGGGTCTCGCTTTGTTGCCCAGTCTGGTGCAGAACTCCTGAGCTCAAGTCATCCTCCCACCTCAGCTTCCCAAAGTGTTGAGATTACACACATGAACCACCATTCCCTGCTGTAAAACTTTTATTAAATAGATTTGATACGCTTATCTCTTGGTAACCTGTCTTTTGTTATAAGAGTATCAGCCATGATGCTTCTGATAAATGAAGAAAAGTATCACATCTTTCTGGCCCTACACTTAAAAAAAAAAGAAAAAAGACAGAAAGAAAAGAAGCAAACAACAATTGAGAATAATATTATAGCTACCTGATGGGTTATTTCATCCCACTGCACAGACAAAACAAATTTACTAAGATGATGACATTGCAATAAAGAAAGGGTTTAATTGACATGAGGCCAACCATGTCATGTGGAAGATGGTGAAGTTATTACTCAAATCAATCTCCTCAAAACTTTGGAGGCTAGGATTGTTTAGGGATAGTTTGGTGAGCCAAGGAGTCCACTTCTGCCTTAGGCCATAGGACAAGTTGGCTGGTCTTGGTGGAGCCATTTGTCATCAGAAATTCAAAAACCTGAAAAGACATCTCAAAAGGCCAATCATAAGTTCTACAATAGTGATGATATCTGCAGGAGTAATTAGGGATTTGCAAATCTTGTGAACTCCAGAATAAAGGCAGGTAATAATTCATGTCTACACCTTAGCAGAATCCAGGCTCCTCATCCTCCTAACCTGGTGGTCTTTCAGTAGACCTACAAAGGCAGCTTAGTTTTGGGGAAGGGCTATTATCATTTAAACTATAAGCTAAATGTCTCCCAAAGTTAGTTTGGCCTAAGCCTGTAACCACCCAATGGGTTCACCTTGCCCACTGCCTAGACAGAGCCTATTTATCAAGACAGGGAATTGCAGTAGAGAAAGTGTAACTCACACAGAGCCAGCTGTGCAGGAGACTGGAGTTTTATTATTACTCAAATCTGTCTCCCCAAAAACTCGGGTATCAGAGTTTTTAAGGATAATTTGGTGGGTAGGGGGCCAGTTAGTCGGGAGTGCTAATTGATTGGCTCAGGGATGAAATCATAGAGAGTGGAAACTGTCCTCTTATGCTGAGTCAGTTCAGTTCCTGGGTGTGGGGCCACAGAACTGGTTGGCAGGTCCAGGTGGGGCCATACAATTGTCAGAAATGCAAAAACCTGGAAAGACAGCTCAATCTTAGGTTCTCAATAGTTACTCTTGATTCTATCCTCAAAAGTAATTGGGGAAGTTGCAAATCTTATTATATCTGGAGTCATGGCTGGTAATATTTAGAATTCTAGCCTCTTTCTTCCTAACTTGGTGGCTGGTAGCCTTTCATTCATTTTACAAGAACAGCTTAGCTTTTGAGAAGGGCTGTTATTTAAAGTATAAACTAAATTCCTTCCCAAGGCTAGTTCAGCCTATGCCCAGGAAGGGACAAGGACAGTTTGGAGGTTAGAAGCAAGATGGATTTGGGTTAAGTCTGATATCTTTCAATGTCATAATTTCCTTAGTTATAATTTTGCAAAGGCAGTTTCAAACCTAGGAATGATTAAGGGTACTTTGGAGGTTAAAAGCAAGATGGGGGTTGGTTAGATAAGATCTCTTTCACTGGCATAAATTTCTCACTGTTCTAATTTTTGCAAAGGTGGTTTTAATACCTGAGAACTACTGAATCAAACTAGGCCTAAAGAACAGAGATTTGTTCATACAAATATGTCTATGTCTAGATATCACTACTAAGGATCTCATTACTGCCAGATTAAAAGGAATTCCCAACCTGTCAAGAAAGAATTCATCTTATTTTCCTGTGGAAATGAAGTGGCCACGTTGTCTGGGGTATATACCCTGGGGTTTGTTGTCACAAGCTGGGAAAATTTAGGACACGGACACACACATGAGGAGTTTAGGAGTGGAGGTTTAATAGGCAGAAGAGAAGAGAAAGAGAAAGAGAAACAGCTCTCTTTATAGAGAGAGGACTCTCCAAACTGAAAGGGATGGCTGGCAGCAAATGTGCCAGATTTTACAGTCCAGTTTGAGGAGGCGGTGTCTGATTTACATAGGGCTCCCAGATTGTATGGCATTTACATAGCATGCAGGGAAGGGTGGTAGCCCCACTCTAATCTTATTATGCAAATGGCCTTTCCAGTTGATCTGCTCCATCTTGTCTGTTCCTTATAGCACATGTGGCTGACAGAGAAGGGAAGACGGAGCCGCCATCTTGAACATGTCTAGCCCCTAGTTCCTGCCAGTATTCACCCATGCAAGTTCCCAGCTTGCTTGTCTGTGTCTGCAGCTCGACTTTACAGTCTGCTCTTTGTTGGAAAATGATTTAGGGCTGCTTTTCATTAAAAAGAACAGCCTTACTGAGGACTCCCATACCCTTACTATCTGCCTAAGTGATTTCTTCTTAACTCCTATATCAGAAACAATGCTGGAAATCAGAGTTCATGTGGTTGAAAGAAGTTCCTTGTTTCCTGTTGGTATATTTAGATTCAATGGAATATTTAGTGTTCAATAAGCTTTGCTTCTAAAGGGACACTGATTTGGGACAGCTCTCATCTAAACTCTTGATACGCTGTGGCTTCTACTCTCTGTCTGTGGTCAGCTCCCTTACTGAATGAAATCTTCTACATGACAGAAAGCTATCAGTGGCTCAATCATGTGTAAGCCCCATGATTTTCCTATTTCAGATCTGATAACTGTGTGCTTCAGTAAGTTACCACTTGCCAGTCTTACAGAGAAAGCCAGAAAAAGTAGGCTGTGGGTGAGCTTCAGAAAAAGAACAGGCATTTGTGAATTGCTAGCCAGATTTTAAGCTAGGAACATTTTTTTTAATTCAATTTAATTCTTATGACTTTACTGCAATACTGCAAGGTAGATGTTTTAATCCTGTTTTACGAATGAAGAATTTGATATTTGGACAACTTAGCAACTTGTGTGAGGTCATGCAGCTGGGGAGCGATGAAGTCTTTGAAATCCAGATTATACTTCAAAACAGATTGGAACCTGATTAGAGCCTGCTATGGTGGCTCTTGCCTATAATCTCAACAACTCAGGAGACTAAAGCAAAAGTATCCCTTGAGTATTGTTTGAGGACAGCAGTTCAAGACCAGCCTGGGCAGCACAGTGAGACCCCATCTCTAAAAAAAAAAATTGTTTTTAAATTACCCAGGTGTACTTGCACACACCTGTAATTCTAGCTACTTGGGAAGCTGAGGTGGAAGGATTGATTGAGCCCAGGAGTTCACACTCTGCATTCCAGCCTAGGTGACAGAGTGAGATCCTGTCTCTAAAAAGTAAAAATAAATAAATAAGAACCTGATTAGAAACACAGACCTGAGTATGCCATCTAGTTTTATCCTTGGTTAAGTGACTCCTTGTCTCAAGATTCACACTGTAAAATCAAGATAAAAATAATACCAATCTGGCATAAAAACAAAGACATAGAAGAATGGAATAGAGTAGACAGCCCATAAAAATAGCCCATGCATATATGGTCAGTTAATTTTCCCCAAGGACACCAAGAAGACTCTCAACGGGGGAAAGACAGTCACTTCAATCAATGGTGTTGGAAAAGTGGCTATCCAAAGGCAAAATAATGAAATTGTACCCTGATCTTACACCATACACAAAAATTAACTCAAAAGGGATTAAATATGTAAGCATAAAAACTGAAATCATAAAGCTCCTAGAAGAGAACATAGGAGAAAATCTCCTTGACGTTGACCTTGGCAATGGTTTTTTTGTGTATCATACAAAAAAGCTTAGGCAACAAGAGCAAAAATAAACAAGAGAGACCACGTCAAACTAAGAAGTTTCTGCACAGCAAAGGAAATAATAGCAAAATGAAAGGGCAGCCTACAGATTAGGGAGAAAATACTTGCCAACTGTATGTTTGATAAGGAGTTAGTATCTAAAATATTTAGGAAACTCATACAACTAAATAATTAAAAACAATCAAGTAACCCAGTTCAAATATTGAAGAACCTGAAAAGACATTTTTTCCAAAAATAAAACCATAAAAATAACCAATAGGCATATTAAAAAGTGTTCAACATCACTAATCATCAGGGAAATACAAATCAAAACTCCAGTAAGATATCACTTCACATCTGTTAGTATGACTATTTTCAAAAAAATAAGAGGCAGCAACTATTGGTAAGGGTGGACAGAAGAGAGAATGCTTGTACACTGTTGGTAAGAATGCAAGCTGGTACAACCATTTTGGAACACAATAGGAAGGTTGCTCAAAAAACTAAAAATAGAACTACCATATGACCCATCTATCTCTCTTCTCGGTATATATCCAAATGAAATGAAATCAGCCCCATATAGAGATATATGCACTCACATATTCATTGTAGTATTATTCACAATAGTTGAGGTACGAAAGCAACCTAAGTGTTTGTTGATAAATAAATGGATAAAGAAGTTATGAAATATATTGTACCTAAGGACATTATTCTAAATGGAATAAGCCAAATACTGAAAGAAGAATACTGTATTATTTTACTTATAATATGTAGGGTTTTTTTTAAGTCAAATACATGGGAAAAATTAGTAGAAGAGAGATTACCAGGAGTTGAGAGAGAGATGAAAATAGGGAAATACAGGCCAATAGATGCAAAGTTGCAGTTGCATAGGAGCAATAAGTTTAGGGATCTAATGCATGGCATGAGGAGTATAGCTAATAATCTTGTATTGTATACTGGAAATTTGCTAATAGAGTCGAGTTTAGATGTTCTTACCCACCCCCGCCCCGCCTACCACACATGCACATATACACACACAAAGGTAACTATGTGAGGTGATGGATAGATTAATTTGCTTAGCAGTAGTAACCATTTAACTAGGTATACGTATATCAAAATATAATGCCGTATGAATTAAATATGTAAAATAAAATTTTGAAAAAGAAGAATATCTCCCTTCAGGATGTTATGAGTCTATAGTGAGCCGAAACATTTAGTACATGCACCCAACAGTGTTTACATTTATTATAATTATTATTATTGCCATGATTATTTCTGATTTAAGTATATAATTCATGGGGAGAGAAAACTTACTTTCCCATTCACTACATTATATCCAGTGTCTAGTATAGCGGGATGTAATAGGTAATAAATAAATATTTGTTAAATAACAATCTTTTTCTCTCTGGTGCATATTCCCCGTGTAGTGACTTTCTGATACAATACGCAAAAATGAGAAAGCCAATGAAGCCAACAATTAATACTATTAAATATTGAAACTTCACCTTCTGTCAGTTCAGTAACAAGAGCAGAATCAAGAGATTGCTCTAGGCGGTTAACCAAATAGAGCCCTAACAGGGTGCCCATGATCAATGTCAGTCCCAATAGGGCTGGTGCCATTCCCTGCCAGCTGGGCTATCAGTCCACTGCCTAAGAACTCTCCCAGCCAAATTCTGTAACAATATGATAATTTTCTTGTACTCAAAATGCACTTCTTGGTAAAGCACCATGGGAAGAAACTTGAATTTGAGAGATAGGAACATTAATTTTCTGGTGCAGAACAAGAAACATACCTGGAAAAAAAAAAGAATGCTGAATATTGTGTAGTACACATCACCAGGAGATCCACAACCTCTCCCTCATTGTCAGATAATCCTTATGGTTCTGTTTAGTTGACTATTAGGTTATTGCTGCCATACACATAATTGAGCCCTGGAATGATCTTATAACCACTATAAAACATGTTCGGATTCATAAAAAGGCAATAATTTTGATAGGTAAAGAATCCTGAATCTGGGGGCAATCTCGTATAATTTAGTCTGAAAGACCAGCCCTATCAGAATCTCCTGGAGAGACTGTAAAATAGATGAATACTTACCTACCTCCAAACCTATGTACATAATAGGACATTATGCTAAATGGAATAAGCCAAATACTGAAAAAAGAATACTGCATTATTTAACTTATACATAGATTTTTTTCATACGTGCATACATACCTAAGATACATCATTATCTTGGCTATTCTGAAAAGTGTTATCAGAAGACAATTTTTAACAAACCTCCCTGGTTCTAACGACCTGAGAGTTTTAATAAACACTGTGATTTAAGTAAAGTTACTAGTTTTACAGATAAGTGAATCACAGAAGAGAACACCCAGTTGTCAGTAGAACCTGCCTTCTGCATATTATTATAGTAATATTTATATGATGCAATATAAAGTCTATATAATTATGCCAGCCTTCTTTCACTTTTGATGGCATGGTTAAGTTTCAAGGACCCTGGATTCCTTGTCTTCTTTTCAAACTCTGGTTTTCAACAAATTATGGTATTTAAATTTCTATATAATCACAAAATTATAATTTTAAAGATATGCATGCTTTATCTGGAATAACATATTTCAAACAAGAAAAGATCAGAGGATTGTGTAGAAATAGGATTTAGAGGAAATCAGGGAGATGGAATGAATATAAATGGTTCTTAGTAGTATGAACCGTGACAATATAATTTTTCCTTGAGTCGATGCTGTTAATAAAAGATGAATTACTATGTGGTACTCTTATGGCTCACACAATATTAAAATGAACATAAAAGTCCCATTGAACATGTGGGTCATTATGAAAGTGTTATGAAGTCATATGTGGATTCAAGCAGAAGAATGGGGAATTTATATAAAACTTTCATTGGCATGTTTAGAGTGCATTTTAGCAAGAAGCAGATACCAACAAGGGCATTTATGACTGTTGATTCCTCTAGTGTATTTATTCTTTGAATCAGGACAAAACCTTGGAAGAGATGCCCAATAGAGTTGAATAGGCATAGCAGTCCCAGAGGGATTTTTAGATACAATATTTACAGTGCAGACATTCTTTGCATTTATAATCTTAGGTTCCCATTTACTAGCCCAATGGCTACAAGAAGTGTACTGAACATCTGTAACTCTATGTTTATGTTATGTACAACTTCATATTGGTTTTATGAAGTTGAAATGAGGGAGTATATGCAAAATGCTTTAGCATGGCTTTGACCACCTGGTGAATGTTTACTAAGGTCATTGTTATTGGGATTATTATTAGTCTGGGTTGAATTGAGTTGACAGATGCAATATGCTTAGTTGGAGAAACTTGAGCTTCTGGTTTTTAAATGGTCTTCCCATTTATTTTATTTTTCATTTTTTTGAGACATGGTCTTGCTCTGTCACCCAGGCTGGAATGCAGTGGCATGATCTCAGCTCACTGCAACCTCCACCTCCCAGGTTCAGGTGATTCTCCTACCTCAGCCTCCCCAGTACCTAAGACAACAGGTACACACCATCATGCCAGGCTAATGATTTTTATTTTTTGTAGAGACAGAGTTTCACCGCATTGCCCAGGCTGGTCTCAAACTCCTAGACTCAACGCAATCCTGCCACCTCGGTCTCTCAAAATGCTGGGATTATAGGCATGAGACACTGTGCCCAGATTCTCCTTCTCTTCTTACCATTTAATTTTTAATGTTATTACAAATTTTTAGCTTGAAAATATATGGATAAGATTCTGTTTGGTGGAAAATCCTTCTTGATGCTCTACAATAGAGTCATATGTCTATATGTATATATGTATATACCAGCATACCTCAGAGATATTGTAGGTTCAGTTTCAGGCCAATGCAATAAAGTGAGTATTACAGTAAAGCAATTCACACTTTTTTGGTGGTGGTGTTTCCCACACATATAAAAGATATGTCTATACCATACTATAGTCTATTGAGGTTCTTGCCTCAATGTCGATGGCTGCTGACTGATCAGAATAATGGGTGTGGAAGGTTGGGGTGGCTGTAGCAAAGACAACAATGAAGTATGCCACATCGATTGATCCTTCCTTTCACAAAAGATTTCTCTGTAGCATGTGATGCTGTTTGATAGCAGTTTACAAGCCACAATAGAAATTCTCTCAAAATTGGCGTCAGTACTCTCAAACCCTGCCACTACTTTATTAATTAAGTCAATGTAATATTCTCTGTATTATTCCTCTGTTGGCATTTCAACAATGTTCACAGCATCGTCACCAGGAGTAGATTCAACCTCAATAAACCACTTTCATTGTTCATCCATGAGAAGCAACTCCTTATCCATGCAAGTTTGATCATGAGATTGCAGCAAGCCAATCACATCTTCAGACTCGATTTCTCTTGCTATTTTCACCACATCTGCAGTTACTTCCTCCACTGAAATCTTGAACCCTTCCAAGTCATCTATGATTTAACTCCTGTAAATTTTACTATTTTTACCTCCTCCCATGAATCACAAATGTTCTTACTGGCATCTGGAATGGTGAATTCTTTATGAAAAATTGCCAATGTTCTTTGCCCAGATGCCTCAGAAGAATCTGTGGCAGCTATGGCTTTAACAAAATATGTGTTTTAAATAATATGTGAAAGTCAAAACTACTCACTAACCTGCAGAATGGATGTTATGTGACCAAGCATAAAAACAAGATAAATCTTTTTGAATATCTCCATCAAAGATCTTGTGTGACTAGGTACATTGTTAATGAACAGTAATATTTTGAAAAGTTTCTTCTAAGCAATAGGGCTCAACAGTGGACCCAAAATATTCAGTAAACTATATGTAAACAGATGAGCTGTCATTCGGGCTTTGTTTTTTCCATTACAGAGCACAAGCAGAGGAGAGTGAGCATAGTTCTTAAGAACCCTAGGGTTTTTGACATGTTAAATGAGTACTGGCTTCACCTTAAAGTCATCAGCTTCAATGGCCCCTAACACGAGTGTCAGCCTGTCCTTTGAAGCTTTGAAGCCAGACATTTATCGGGGAAACCTGCCCACAATATTTCAATGTAGGTTCTTTCTATTTTCCATAAGTGTCGGCCAGTCTGAGAAATAAAGAGAAAGAGCACAAAGAGAAGAATTTTATAGATGGGCTACCAGGGGTGACATCACATATTGGTAGGACCCTGATGCCAACCTGAGCCTTAAAGCCAGCAAGTTTTATTAAGGATTTCAAAAGGGGAGGGGGTGCAAGAACAGGCAGTAGGTCACAAAGATCATATGCTTCAAAGGGCAAAAAGAAGAACAAAGATCACATGCTTCTGAGGAAACAGGACAAAAGGCAAAACAGAACTACTAATAAGGGTCTATGTTCGGCTGTGCAGGTGTTGTCTTGATAAACATCTTAAACAACAGAAAACAGGGTTCAAGAGCAGAGAACTGATCTGACCTCAAATTTACCATGGTGGGGTTTTTTCCCCACCCTAGTAAGCCTGAGGGTACTGCAGGAGACCAGGGCTTATTTCGGTCCTTATCTCAACCACATAAGACAGACACTGCCAGAGTGGCCATTTATAGATGGCCATTTATAGACCTCCCCCGAGAAATGCAATTCCTACCCCAGGGTATTAATTATTAATATCCCTTGCTAGGAAAAGTATTTACCAATACCTTCCCTCCTTGCAAGTCCGTTTATAGGCTCTCTGCAAGAAGAAAAATATGGCTCTATTTTGCCCAACCCCGCAGGCAGTCAGACCTTATGGCTGTCTTCCCTTATTCCCTAGAAATCACTGTTATTCTGTTCTTTTTCAAGGTGCACTGATTTCATATTGTTCAAACACATGTTTTACAATCAATTTGTACAGTTAACACAATTATCATAGTGGCCCTGAGGTGGTGTACATCCTCAGCTTACAAAGATAACAGGATTAAGAGATTAAAGTAAGACAGGCTTAAGAAATTATGAAAGTATTATTTGGGAACTATGAAATGTCCGTGAAATCTTCACAATTTATGTTCCTCTGCTGCAGCTCCAGCCGGTCCCTCCATTCGGGGTCCCTGACTTCCCACAACAGACATTGACTTCTGCTCTCTAGCTATGAAGTAAGTAGTAGATGGTATCTTCTTCTGATAGAACTTTGTTTTATCTCCATTGAAAATCTGTTTTTTGGAGCAGCCACCTTCATCAAGGATCTTAGCTAGATCTCCTGGATAACTTGCTGCAGCTTCTGTATAAGCCCTTGCTGTTTCACATTGCACTTTATTGTTACAAAGACAGCCTCTTTCCTTAAACCTCATCAACCAACCTCTGCTGGCTCCAAACTTTTCTTCTGCAGCTTCCTCACCTCTCTCAGCCTTCATAGTATTGAACAAGATGTGAGCTTGCTCTTGAATTAGGCTTTGGCTTAAGGAAATGGTGTGACTGGTTTGATCCTCTATCCAGACTACTAAAGCTTCCTCAAAATCAGCGGGAAGGCTGTTTTGTTTTCTTATAATTTGTGCGTTCACAGAGTTGCACTTTTAGTTTCCTTTAAGAACTTTGCTTTTGTACTCACAACTTGGCTGTTTGGTACAAGGGACTTGCTTTTTGCCTATCTGCGCTGTTGGCATGACTTCCTCGCTAAGCTTAATCATCTCTAGTTTTTAATTTAAAGTGACAAACATGTAACTCTCGCTTTCATTTGAATTCTTAGAGGCCATTGTAGGGTTCTTAGCTGGCAGAATTCCAATATTGTCATGTCTCAGGAAAACAGGGAGGGCTAAGGAGAGAAAGAGAGTTGAGGAAAAGGCAGGTCAGTGGAGCAGTCAGCACACCACATCTATCAATTAAGTTCACCATCTTATATGGGTGTGGTTTGTGGTACCCCAAAATAGTGAAAAAGTTGAGGTATTGCAATGATTACCAAAATGTGACACAGAGAAATGAAGTGAGGACACACTTTTGGAAAACTGGTACTGATACACCTGCTTTAAAAAGGGTTTTCACAAACCTTTCCCTTGTAAAACACACAATATCTGCAAAGTGTAATAAAATAATGTAATGTTTTATTATTGTTTTTATGGGAACCCAAGGTCTTCGTATTATGCTGGCAGCTTTATATTATTATGAGTTAGCCCCAAGTCACTATTTTGAACCCTTGGTAAAACTAAATTCTCTTTTGCTGTCACTGTCTTTATTTCTTCAGATACAAGCAGCATGTCTCATCCATTTTTCTTTCTTTTCTTACTTATCTTTTTGTTAGAAGCAAATAATTCTAGCCTTTGGAATGACAACAAATATCCAAACCTGAATACCCTAGAAAGTTTTTAGAAAAGATGCCATAGTTCTTTTGGGAGAAAAATAATAGAAGTATAATATCTTCTTTAAATATCAGAAGAGCTCAAAATTAGACATGCTGAAATGGTGAAAGCTACAAAATGCCAAAGTAGGCCTTACAGGAAATAATCAAAGCCCAAAATATAAAACAAGCTGTTTAGAAATCAAGTTTTCTATTCCTATGAGGCTTCAAGAAGGGCTAGAGCTAATATGGCTACTTCAAGGTGATGAAAAATAAGAGCAGGCAATTTCTTTCTTCCATTCTTTTCTTCTGTCCTTTCCTCATTTCTTCCCTCCCTCCTTTCTGTTCTTCCTTTTATTTTTTGTTTTGACTTTTTGTATATTATTTAAAAATTTCTCAATATGACTTTAAAAAATCAAAGATGTAGATGACTTATTGATGGAAATGATGCTGAAGACATAGCCCACACAATGAGCTTTTGGAGGAGATGCCATCAATGACCCTGCCAATCCCAGGGCTTTAAAGACCTTCTGACTCCAAGCCCTGACATTATCCTCTGTATTTTTCTGCTTATTTAAATGATATAGACAAGTTAAAAGATGTTCTGGCCCTATTTGGGTCTATCATTAAAACAAGTGGGAGTAGACAACAGAAAACTGTCCAACTATTCAAAACTGTGATGTCAGACTCCCCAAATAGGAAGAAAACAGACAGACTATCCAGGTAGAAATAATCAAATATAACCAAAAAACTCTTTTCATTGTCAAGTCTTGTGGCTGAAAGTCAAGCTGTGTCTATGAAATGAAATGGCTTCAAAGGTAGCATACAACACTATTAACCTAACCTTCTAAAATGAAAACCAGGCTTCTCTGATCAAGGACATTATTCTTTTATTCAGAAAATCACCATGGGAACAATCAGCAAGCAAAATAAAATGCGATCAAAAGTTTAGAACTGCGATTTGAGAAGCAATAAAGTCCTGCCATCGCTATGCTGATTAGGGAGATAAGACAGAAAATTCTTCTAAACTAACTCAAATTATGACAGATAAGACAAGATACATACATCTTGCATATAGAAGTAACAAATATACTGGTCAGTGGCATTTGAGGATAACAATTGATAATAACTTTGTTTTCCTAATAGTGAAACATAATTCATGTATGCTTAATTTATTCAAATCCTCTTGGATAAGAAAGGTAAGGTTTACAATATACTAGGCTTAGTGTGAAATCGGACTTTTGTAGATTGTTTTACGATATTTTAAAATGGACTTACGCTTCTTTCTTTCACCTACTGAGCCTACTTCCAAATGATGAAAGATGAGGTAAAGGCTAGTATATCACCATGGAAGACAAGCTTCCAAGGGTCCATGATAGACAGGCTGATTTTGGAGATCAAAGGAATGGCCTTCAATCTCATAGCTACAGTTGAAGGGATCCGGTGAGGTCCTTTAACCCCAACAAATGTCACCAGAGATTAACCTGCTTGAACTGAAATGCGGATGTATATATTCAATGTTTGTTCAAGTAATACGTGTTGAGCACCACACTTATCCCTTATAATGAAGCACAAGATACTCTCTTATTATGTGGTATATCTGATAGTCATCTAAGTCTTTCTCCACAGGAAAAATATATGAGAAGGAAAATTATTAGCATTGTTTGGTCTTTACTAAATGTGTATGTGAAAAGCAATTATATAATTGTGACATTTAAAGAGAACAGGTCATGATAACTGAAGTTTCCATTCTTCAAAACAGTTACAGCTTCACTGGGCAAACTAGCCACTGAGTTCGTTCTATCTTGTTCTATCGCCATCTCCCCTAGGCAATTCCTTGTGTATCTTTCAACGTAATCATGGTTTGAGTCAAAGAAACATGAATAATCCCTTCAAGTAGACAATTTAGCCATAACATCCAGTGATTAGGTTGTTCTATGTGCTTTTACTGATTTTTTTTTTTTTTTTCAGATAAAAGATGAACAGAAAAATGATGATAGTCTTGAGCAATGCATTTCCTCTTCCATTCTGACAGCCTGTGTGTCTGGGCACTTGGCTGGGTTTCTGCCGCCCACATGGAGAATAGAAGCATTTGCATAACACTGTGGGCCTTTGAAATGCCTATTCCAGCTGCATTTCAGAGAAAGCTTACCCCAGCTGTAAAATGAATGCCTCAATCAAGGCTACAGCTGGGTCCTCTCAGTAGAATGGAGTCTTCCTGGAAAAAGAAAGGCCAGAAGGAAGATGTCCTACTGGACCAAAAAAATACATCCTTCATTTTGTCAAAGCCCTGACACAATGGACAAGAATCTACTAAAAGATACTGAGGTCAACATGCATTAAGGGATAGTTCATTTGCACGTAAATTATAGAGGAAACCGAAGGAAATAACAGAAATGACTGTTGGCAATTTGCAGCAGTCATTTTTGTTATGAAACAATAAAGGCCTTCGTTTTTCATAATTTTGTTAATGGAAAACCAAACTCTATAAAATATTTTTAAAAGGTTTACTCTAAGCCAATATGAGTGATTGTGGCCCAGAGAAAAATACAAAACCAAGAAGTCTTGAGTAAGTAGTTCCAAGGCAGCCGAGTTACAGTTTGGTTTCACACATTTAAGGGAGATAGGAGTTCCTGTCAAAGACATAAACTAATACATGTAAGGTAAACATTCGTTGGGCCTGAAAAGGCCGGACGTTTCAGTGGGGGCTTACAAGTCATAGGTGGGTTTTAGGGATTTCTTAGTCAACAGTTGACTGAGAGAGTTAAACTATTGTCTAAAGACCTGAAGTCAGTACAAAGGAATGCTTGAGTAAACAAAATTAGGTTGGCCAGGTGCAATGGTTCACATCTATAATCCTGGCACTTTCAGAGGCCAAGGTGTGCAGATCACTTCTGCCCAGGAATTAGAGGCCAGCCTGGGCAACATGATGAGACCCCCATCTCTACAAAAAATACAAAAAAAAAAAATTAGCTGGGCATGGTGACATGTGCTTGTAGTCCCAGCTACTCAGGAGGCTGACAAGGGAGTATATCTTAAGCCTAGGAGGTTGAGGCTGCAGTCAGCCATCATCATGTCACTGAACTCCAGACTGGCCAACAGAGCAAGACTTTGTCTCAGAAAAAAAAAAATAAAAAGTAAAAAAATAAAAAATAAAAGGGTTGTGAGGACCAAGGCTCTTGTTATGTAGATAAAGCCTCAAAGGTCTCAGCCCTCAGAGAGAATAGGTCTCCTTTCAGAGCTAAAGGTGTCAAGACTATCAGTTAATCTATTCTTGATCCCAGAAAGGCCTAAAAAGGGAATGCCTGGATGCATTAATGATGATTCTGTATAGACATAAATTTCCCCCACAAAAGATGGCTTTGCAGGGCCATTTCAAACTATGATAAATAAACATATTTTGGGGTAAAGTATTTTGATTTCCTTCATGATCTGCTATCTTCCATATGATGCTTTACCAGAGTCAGCTTGAAAAGTAAGTCATATTTTACTGGGTTAATTGAAAAGGTCCATTTAACAATATTTTATGGTTTGTAGGGTGTGACTAAATTCTTTCCTTGCACAGCTTTAGGTCTTGGTAATTATTTATATTTATAATTTTGTATTTTATTGACACAAGGAGTTTGTTTGGTCAGTTTTATTATCTCTATTTTAACCAAAATGCTGGTCAGTTGTGCCTAAACTCCAAAAGGGTGGGGATATAAGGGAGTGTGTTTGACCTCCTTTCTTATCCTGGCCAGTGGCCAGGAATTCAGTTTTTAAGGTTTTTTGGGGTCCCCCTGGCCACGAGGGGTCCATTCAGTCAGTTGCAGGGCTTAAGATTGTTATATTGGTTTACAACTTTTTGCATTTACATACAAAACCAGTGGGTTCATTTATTTTGATAAAATGGTGAGCTCTTCAGTGGGTTTAATTTCATGTGGTATATATGTACTGATGTTTTTGAGATGGAAGAAGCCAGACTCAACACAGGCACAAAACAGGAATAAAATTTAGTCACATAGGAAGAAGAAAAGTAAATAATGAAGAAAGTACCTGCCAAAATACAAATTCAGAAATATATAATGAGTATTTATTTTTATTAAATGAGAAACCGATGTATCCTAGACATCTGAAAACCTGAATTTAAATGCCAGGTAATAAATTAAAAAGAAATTTAATCCCAATTGATATAAGTACTTAGAGTAAATTTTCACTTTTCATTACATATAAATGTTTAGGCATTAATTTTTGAATTACTATTTTCCTGTGAAAAGGGACAAATACATTCTATCAAAGATAAAGTAGCAAAAACCCTGAGTTGAATGAACTCAATTGTCATTCTACTTTAATCAACTAGAAAAGTGTTTCTCAAACTTTAGCATGCATAGGATGACACAGGAATCTTGTTAAAACAGATTCTGGGTTATTAGGTCTGGGGTCAGAAGAACCCGAGTTTCTGCTTTTCCATCAAGTGCCTAAGTGAGGTAGATAGTGCTAATCCACAAACCACACTTTAAATAGCAAGGAACTAGATTACTCTCTTCATTAAATTATAATATAAACATAAAATAATTCAATTTTTCAGAAAAATATCGATAAAACATTAGAAAAAGATATATAAAACTGTCAGCTTCTAAATCATATACTTATTAGAAGAAAGGTTATCTATGAGGACTGGCAGGCCTCTGAGGCCAAGCCTGCACATATATATCCAGGTGGCCTGAAGCAACAGAAGAATCACAAAAGATGTGAAAATGGCTGGTTCCTGCCTTAACTGATGACATTATCTTGTGAAATTCCTTCTCCTGGATCAGAAGCTCCTCCACTGAGCACCTTGTGACCCCTGCCCCTGGCCGCAAGACAACAACCCCCTTTGACTGTAATTTTCCACTACCCACCCAAATCCTATAAAACTGCCCCACCCCTAAACTCCCTTTGCTGACTCCTTTTGCGGACTCAGCCCACCTGCACATGGGTGATTAAAAAGCTTTATGGCTCACACAAAGCCTGTTTGGTGGTCTCTTCACACAGAAGCATGTGATGAGGACACAAATTAAGATATAATAATATAGAATAAAGTCAAATTGGCAGTTAGTTTAAATTTTCACTTATATTCAAATTTGTAGCTACTAAAGATATTTTTCCTCCAAATTTAAAAATATATTCACTTGTGTATCTGTATGCAAGAAGTGTTCCTGAAACATGAAGCTAATTATATTAGTGTCACTGGTGGTTTTTATTTATTATTCAATGATAGGAGCCTTTGTGTATGTTCCACACTGGCTCCTCCTCATGGTTGCTTGAAATATGCCTAAACTTTTTCAAAACAGAAGTCAAGTCAGACCTCTCCTTACATTCCCTGGCAGAGTTCACATCGTAGCTACTATGCTTGTGTAATTCCTGATACATGGCTTAACTGTTACCCAATTTCCTTGAATTCTCTGTACCAGTTTCTCTCCTGAACTGGAAAAAAATCTCCTGGGTGAAAGGGTTAAAAAGGGGCAACTGTTCTTAGGTTGTATGCTGGCCCTGCACTGGAAAGATGCTTAATCTTGGAAATGTATAATCTTGGACGATTCTTTGTAATGTGAATGCTAATCTGTAACACTTTCAGTAAATCCAACAATTCTGGAAAGAGCTATGGGTTCAGACCTTTACCACACAAGACTAAGTGCTCACTGACCACTAAGAAGGCAGAACAGAAAGTAGTCTATGCCTTTCCTTGCTGGGAGCAGTGGCTCATGCCTGTAATCCCAGCACTTTGGGAGGTCGAGGCAGGTGGATCACTTAAAGTGAAGAGTTTGTGACCAACCTGGCCAACATGGAGAAACCCCATCTCTACAAGAAATAAAAAAAATTAGCCAGGTGTGTTGGTGTATGCCTGTAATCCCAGCTACTCAGAAGGCTGAGACAGGAAAATCCCTTGAACCTGTGAGGAGGAGGTTGCAGTGAGCCTAGATTGCATCACTGCACTCCAGCCTGGGTGACACAGCCAGACTCTATCTCTAAAAATAAAAGCATTTCCTTGTTGTTCCCTTCTGATGGGTTACAGTGCCAGTTTCACTCCCACTGAAGCCCTGAAATTCTCCTTCCTTAGTATATTTAAACTATTTGCATTTAATTTCAAATTCATTATTTTAGGGCTTAAGTCCACCTTGGTTTTTTTTGTTTCTGTTTGTTCTTTAGTTTTTTATTTGTCTTGCCATTTTTTTTCCTGCCTTTCTGTGTATTATTGGAAGATTTTAAAAATATATATATATATATTTATACTATTTATGAGTATATTTCTTTGTATAGCTTTTTAAGTAGTTGATGAAGTTATTATGTATACACATATATGCGTACATACACATATGCATACATATATATATATATACTCATACATATTTATATAATATTATCAAGTCTATGGGTGTTATCATTTTGCCATTACTAGTGAAATGTATAAATCCTACCTCTATTTACACTTTTTTACTCTCTAAGGATTGTGATATAATTGTATTAAATATTTCCTCTACATACATTTAGAACCATATCAAATAGTATTATAATTATTGCTTCAAGCATCAAATATAATTTAGAAAACTCAAGAGGAGGATAATTTTGCTGAGTTAGTAGGTCTTTTAGCCTTTAAAGCATGTCGTGCCACTTTCTTCTGGTCTCCATGGTTTCTGATAATAAATCTACTGTTATTCAAAGTGTCCCCTAAGGTAAATTATTGTGTCTTTTTACTTTGTCTTTAGTTTTTTACTTTGTCTTTAGTTTTTTACTTTGTCTTTAGTTTTCAGACGATTGACTATGATGTTCTTGGTGTGGATTTTTTAAGGTTTATCCTATTTGGGGTTTACTTAGCCACTTGAATCCATGGGTTTGTTTCTTTTGAACAATTTGGAAAGTTTTTAGGCATTATTCCTTTTAATATTTCTTAGCCCTACTCATTTTTTCTTCAATTTCTGGAATGCTGATAACATGGATGTCATCTTTTACGTTTCCTCAGGTCCCTGAGCTTCTGTTCCTTTGCTTTAATTTATGTTCTCTTTGTAGTTCAGATAGTGTAATTTTGATTGTTTTCTTTCTAGTTCAACAATTTTTTTCTATGTCCTCTATTCTGCTGCTAATCTCATTCATTTTTTTATTTCATTTTTTTTTCAGTTTTAGAATTTCCATCAAGTTCTATTTTTTATTTACTTTTTCTTGTTCTTTTTTTGGGTTGAGGTATTCCATTTCTTTGCTGAGACTTCTTTTTAAATTTTTTCAGTGTGTTTGTAACTACTAATTGAAGGATTTTTGTGATGGCTGTTCTAATATGTTTTCCAGATAATTCTAATATTTTGTTCATCTTGGTGTTAGCCTCTAGAGATTGTTTTTCATTCAGTTTGAGATCTTTCTGGTTTTTGGAATGATGAGTGATTTTCTATTGAATCACTCATTGCTGAGTTATTGTGTTATTAGACTCTGGATTGTATTTAAATTTTCCATTTTAGCTGGCTTTCTCCAATATCACTCTGATGGTACCATCAGAGAAAGAAGTGAGTGCTTCCTTGTTACTTCCAGGTATAAATAGAAGTCCAGGTTTCCTATAAAGCATCTGTTGACACCAATGAGAGGGTTTCTCAGTAATGCTGATCATAGGTGATATAGGACTTCACAGACACACACTTGGCTTGTAAGGCATAGGGTATCCTCATTCGTGCTTCAATTAGTCTCTATCGATGCCACAGGGCGAGGTGTGGCCTCATTATCTCTGGGCAGTGATTGAAAATCCTGATTTTCCATAAGGTTTCTTCTACCACCGTCCCAGTAGGGAGAGCAAGGGCACCAAATGACTGTCAAGTTTACTGGAAGTACAAACTCTCTACTTGGTCTCCACTGACACCACGTAGGGTTGGTGCTCATGAATGCCTACCTTGAATGAAAATCTCATTATAGCCTGGCAAGGGTGGAAGTCTAAGATCCACACTCAGTTTTTTTCTTTTTAAATGGGTAAGAGTGGCATCAATTTTTTTTCTGGGGTATTTGGTGTAGTAGAGCTGTTACTTTGGAAAAATTGGGGATTGTTTTTCTCACATCTCATTGGATTCCCATTTTGCTGGCTTTTGGGGATATAAGAGGCAAATCAAAAATCCAGACAATTTATTACTATGTTATTTCTTTGCTTCTGAGTTTCCTCAACAGTCTGCTTTCTTTTCAACACCTTAGTGCCTCCTTTTTTTTTTTTTTTTTTTTGACGGAGTCTCCCCCTGTCGCCCAGGCTGGAGCGCAGTGGCAGGATCTCGGCTCACTGCAAGCTCCACCTCCCAGGTTCATGCCATTCTCCTGCCTCAGCCTCCCAGTTAGCTGGGACTACAGGCGCCCACCACCACACCTGGCTAATTTTTTGTATTTTTTAGTAGAGACGGGATTTCACTGTGTTAGCCAGGATGGTCTTGATCTCCTGACCTCGTGATCCGCCTGCCTCAGCCTCCCAAAGTGCTGGGATTACAGGCATGAGCCACCGCGCCTGGCCCCTTAGTGTCTTCTTATGTTTGTTTACATATAATGTCTAAGATTTTTAGTTATACACAACAGGGAGAATAAGGATACCTACCCCATTTTCCCGGAAGCAGAAATCTGAGATAAACATAAAGTAAAATAAAAGAATGAGTAAGGCAGCACTATTTTCAAGAGCAAAGACATAGAGTCAACCTAGGTGCCTATCAACAGTGGTTTGGATAAAGAAAGTGTGGTTTATATACACCATGAAATACTACACAGCCGTGAAATTAATAAAATCATGTCCTCTGCAGCAACAGGAATGCAGATCAGATGGAGGCCATTATCCTAAGCAAATTAATGCAGGAACAGAAAATCAAATACTACATGTTTTCTCTTATAAGTGGGAGCACAAGGACATAAAGATAGGAATGATAGATACTGGGGACTACTAGAGGGAGGATAGACAGAGAGGCCAGGGGAGCTGGAAAACAACCTACTGGGCACTATGGTAATTACGTGGGTGATGGGATCATTCATATCCCAAACCTCAGTGTTACACAATAAATCCATGTAACAAACTTGCACATCTACCTCCTGAGTCTTTTTAGACTTAGATTTTAGACTTAGATTTTAAAGTCAAAATTTAAAAAGTGAATAATTGAAGGATTAACAAGAGGAAAAATTTAAATTATTCATATTATCATAGCAACTTCATTAAATACGCAAATTAAATTATTTCAATACAAGATAGAACTTAAAAATAATGTAGAATCATTGGGTAGACTTTTGTAAATTAGAAAAGAGATTTATACATCATTTCATTTTGTGTGGCCAAAATTGATGTCATTTGCTGAGTGTATAGAAGAAAGAAAAATATCAGAAAATTCTGTGATGAAATGCTTCTATTACATTCCAAGATATTTAGAGGAATAATGCTGCATTCTCCTAAAAATAATGTGAATTTGATCTCATCTGCCCTGAGTTTTTCCCTTGGCTACTGAATCCCTGTGTAGCAACTCCCTCCTCCTCCAAACCATCCCTCATGTACATCTCTTCCTTTTGCCTCCTCTCACTTATCTTTTCAAAAAGCAGAACAATTGAGGTATAATTTACATACTATAACACTTACATACACAATTATTTTTAAAAATATTTAGAGAGTTGTACAACCATCATGCTAAAGCAATTTTAGAATGTTTCCAATACTCAAAAAAGATCCCTGGTTTTTTTTATTGAAACAATTCTAGAGGATACAATTCAATCAAACAAATCAAGAACCACTATCCCTTGTCCTCACACATTAAGCGAGAAAGATAAAATAAAGCAAAAAAAAAAAAAAATGCCAAAATAGTCTTTGAGATCAAGGTCCATAAATTTCTCAAATTAGGTGCAACCATGGTAAAGTAGTACTGGACTGTTAGACTAAGCTATCTGGTATAATTCCTGATCTTCTTTCAAGTGTTTACAGGGGCTTCTGAGCTCTTAAGATGCAACAGAGTGGAAAGAAAGGTGAATAGCATTACTCATACACACTCAGTAAAATGAAGAAAGAAATGGTAAGTGTATAAGCCAGAATCTGTAATTACAAGTGACAGAAACTCATTATGAACATACTTTGCTAAAAGGGAATATATTGTTTCAGGTACCTGGGAAATAGAGGAGTGTCTAGTTCCAGGAATAGCTGCATCCAGGATCTTAAACAATGTAACCAGGGCTTTACCTTTATCTAATGGCTTTACTTTCTTTTCAGTATTGGCCTTATTTTTTGGCTGTATGTGATGAAACTGTTAGGAAGAACAGCTTCCTATGGTGTTAAGACTAAATTTTAGAAATGATGATCCAGCAATAATAGAGAACTTGGAACACTTAATTCCATGTACTTATGTCACATATCAGGAAACAAGAAAATTTTAACCTTATATTAGTCATATGCACAACAGCTTACTGGGACAACTGACAGTTCCTCACACATCATGAAATGTGGTTGTAGTAGTTCTCCAATAGAAAGGATTCTTGGGGTAAAGACACACTGTGGGCTGGGCGTGGTCGCTCACGCCTGTAATCCCAGCACTTTGGGAGGCCAAGGTGGGCAGATCATGAGATCAGGAGTTTGAGACCAGCCTGGCCAACATGATGAAACTTGTCTCTACTAAAAAAAAATACAAAAAATTAGCCAGGTATGGTGGTGCACACCCATAATCCCAGTTACTCGGGAGGCAGAGGCAGGAGAATCGCCTGAACCCTGGAGGCAGAGGTTGCAGTGAGCCAAGACCACACCATTGCACTCCAGCCTGGGCAACAGAGCAAGACTGTCTCGAGAAAAACAAAACAAAACAAGACAAAACAAACAAACAAAAAACACACCGTGAATTCTATGAATGCATCAAACTTTAAACATTCATAATATCCCCAGATAATAGAACTTTGCATGCATATGGGTACAGGGTATGACTACTCCTTTTTTGTGGCCTCATCATTCCTTTAATACCCTGTGGAAATCTCCCTAGTTTATCTTTCTCTAAAGGAAGAGGATTCTTCCCTTTTGAATCCATGATTATCATACTGGCATTTATCACCTTATTTGTGCAAACACTTGGGGGAAATGTCAAAAGAGGAGTGTGTATGTAGGTATGTGTATGAATGAATGCACACTCACAGGCACTCACATACATGTGCAGGGTAGGAATGGTTAAGAGAAGTGAAATAATCTAACATCTGCTGGGCAACTATTATACATCAAACATATTTTAAGTGGTATGCCTAATTTTCTATGTATGTGTTGCTATACATAGTTTAGAACTGAACACTGGCTTCTGATCTTTTAAACAAACCTAGCCCCATTTCCTAAAATAGCTCATGAAGCCATCTCTCCAAATCCCAACACCTTTTGGATACAGATAAGAATATAATTACCCCTGTTAAACTGCATTAATAAACTAGACACATTTTCTCATCCCATCTACCTAAAAGTTTAATTTTAGGTACCTAAAAGTTTAATTGCATGTGTCTTTTAATTATTTGGTAATAGCTAATTTTTAACATAATTGAGCTTCATAAGTAGAGTCTTCTCCATCATCAAATATTAAAGGCCAATTCATATTTAACTCACATCAAAAAGATGCCCTTCCTGTGCAACACACCACACTCATTCTCATGTCTCGTAGAACCCTTCAGGCTATGTATTACTATCCTTTCCTTTATTTTTTATTCATCCCTTTTTTCTATCCCATTTATAAAATTTTTTTTAATTTACTTGGAAAACTTATTTATATCATAATTTTTTCTTTTCTGCACTATAGCCAATGGCATAGTTAAGTATATATAAAATCTTAAAAATCTTACTCTTGGAAAGACTTCACCTTTCAATTACTTTGTGGAAAACTACAAAAGACTGTCACTCCCTTGATCTCATCAAGGGGGAAAAAAAAACACCCTAAACTAAAAGCCATACCTGTTCTACAAAAGTATCTAAGAAGAGCAGATTCAAATAACTCTTAATGAAATACATTCCAGAAATAGATAAGCCATTCATAGATCTTTACAACAAGAAATGCTACAAGTGTTTTATACTTGGAATTTATACCACATATAAACTCAATTTCTGTAGAAAAGAATGCTGGACATTTTTAAATGTACTTTAATACAGAAGATTATTTCTTTTTTCTTTTCTTATTTTGTTTTAAAGATAATTGTTTAATCTAAAAATAAATGTAACGTATTTTGAAATTTAATTTGTAGTAGGAAAAAATATATAATATTTTCTACATATGACTATTACATATATACATATATATGTGAGTAATGACAGCATAAAGAATGAGAGAAGGTAAACAGATGATTACTGACTTAAGTTTCTTACTTAGTACATGAAATAGTATAGTATAACTCACATTTTACTGTGATAGCTGAAGGGTGCATTTTGTAATCCCTTCAGTGAACAATAAAAACAGTGAATAAAAACAAACACATTTTGTGAGAACTGGAAAATCTAAAAAGTCAAGATAGAAGAAAAACATGCAAAGGCAAAAAATGCCAGATGTTGACAATTTTGTCAGGAGCAGCAGCCTCAGCTGAAAACTAGAAATAGTCCAAATTCTCTTTAATAAGTTGGTAGAAAAAAATTGTATTTTTATTTAATGAAATACTACTCATCAATAAAAATAAATACAATATATGAATGAATCCCAAAAACATCACTTTAAGAATAAGAAACCAAACACAAAGGCATGCATATTATTTGATTCCTGTATATTTAAAAAGGAAAAAATTAATCCATGCTTATTTATGGCAATAGAAACCAGAAGAGTGGTTGCCTCTTGATGCGAGTAGCAGTAGCAAAATATGTGTTAATTGACAAGAATTGAATGTGATGGAATTTTCTGGGATTACAGAAATGTTCTATACCTTTAATCCTAATTTGAGGTTTGATTACATGGGTATATACATTTGTCAAAACTTAACTGCATGCTTGAGATCTTTGTATTTTTACTATATATAAATTATTGTTCAATATGTTTATTTATTTGCATTTATATTTTATTTATTTTTTTTTTTAGACAAGGTCTGGCTCTTTTTCCCAGGCTGGAGTGAAGTGGCATAATCAGGGCTCACTGTGGCCTCGACCTCCTGGACTCGGGTGATCCTCTCAACTCAGCCTCCCAAGTAGCTGGGACTACAGGTGTACACCACCCCCCCTGGCTAATTTTAGTATCTTTAGTGGAGACAATGTTTCACCATCTTGCCCAGGCTGGTCTCAAACTCCTGGGCTCAAGCAATCTGCCCGTCTTGGCCTGAGGCAAGAGCCACTGCACCCAGCTCTATGTGTGTGTGTATGTATATATACATATATATGTATATATATATTTTTTAAAGATAGAAAATGAAAGAAAGAAACCTTGCCCTTACTCAGCCTCATCTCATCCATTTTCCACTTTATTTACTGTACTCCAACCTCTAAGTCCTGAGAGCAGGACTTTCATATATGCTATGTTCTTTTTGATGCTTATACAGCTACTTTTCACATTGCTGGCTCTTTCTTATTTTTCAGACTTCAGAATAATTTTTTCCACTTCAGAGACTTCTTTCCTAGTTACTCAGACAAAAGTAGAATTATAGAATTCAGTATAAATCCCTCAGTGCATTTATCATATTTTGAAGTTAGACACACACACACACACACACACACACACATATACATACAGATAAACATACATATTTTGCTTACTTTTATTTTATTTATTTATTTTGAGACGGAGTCTCACTCTGTCGCCCAGGCTAGAGTGCAGTGGCGTAATCTCGGCTCACTGAGTAGCTGGGATTACAGGCGCCGCCACCACGCCCGGCTAATTTTTTTGTATTTTTAATAGAGACAGGGTTTCACCGTGTTAGCCAAGATGGTCTCGATCTCCTGACCTCGTGATCTGCCCGCCTTGGCCTCCCAAAGTGCTGGGATTACAGGCGTGAGCCACCACGCCCAGCCGCTTAATTTTTAATTTAATTTCACAGGGACTGTGTTTGTGTTGTTCACCCTCACAGAGCCTCTTCCTTCTGTAGCATCTGTTACTTTAGAAAAAGCCAAATGAGCCATAAGACCGACGTTCATGGATGACTAGCTCAAAGTCATAGGCAAGGGAACGATTCTCCAAGGTATTTTAAGTCCCTTGGCGATGCCTAGACACTTGCTAAATTGGGAAATATTTAACTGAACTTTGAGTAACCTGGGTTTTCATCTTTGAGTCCTCTTCCATTGAGATAGTCCCAAGAAAAATGAAAGCATATGTCCACATAAAGATCTATACAGAAATGTTCGTATCAGCTCTATCCACAATAGCCGAAAAGTTGAAACCCCTGTTTAATTTTCACCAGATTAGAAGGAAAGATGTGTCTGTGAATTTGTGTCAGTGTGTGAGAGTTTGTGCCTGTTCTCCTTTGTTTTGGCAGACCCTGGGGATGTGGAGCATTGATGAGATCTACAACATTGGTGACTTGATGCAAATATGAATGAATCAGAACCATATTTTGCAATTTCTCTTAACATTCAAATCATTTTCCCAATTAGAAAAGAAAAGTATTTGACGAACTGTATTTGGGCTTCATCAAATTTGCAATGTTTCAAGAACATATCAAGATGCTTGGTGAAAATAAACAGCAGCTGGATTTGCCCTTTCCTGCCACACACACACAGAGTTTGTTGGAAGTCATTCATAAATCCTTACTGCTCACTGACTCTGGGAACAGATGGCTCTTGGAGGCCACATTGATGGCCAAGAAATCGTCTCATTATTATCATAGAAAGCATCTTCCACTCTTCATTTAGATGAATGAATGGTGTACTGGTATTTCTATCCCAAAGAGGTGCTAATTAAAATGGAAGGATTTTCTCATACAAATTAAATCTTGATGAGAATCAGAGCATCACCCAGACTCCAAGATTTCCAGTCTCCCCTCTTGAGATACTTGAGTTTAATCTCTAATTTTAAATTTCTTATTTGAAACTAGACATGTTGCCCCATCTGTCATCCGACCTTCCAAACATCCATCATCAACTATATCACAGATGCTAGAGGAAAAGTGGGAGAGGAACTAGCTCTTATTGAGTGCAAGATCATTTATATGCATTATTACATCTTTTTTACATAAAGATGGAAATGCTTTGGCAATAGTGAGTGTATGCAAGCTTTAAGATCAGTTTCAAACTAATTTAAAATTATTTCTGAATATTTGTTTTGCTATAAAAATAACCAAAGCAATCTGGCTTAATGGAATGAAAATGGACTTTGAAATGCAACTGACCTGTGTTCTATTACTAATTCTACCTTTACTAATTGTTTAACCATGAGAAAATTCCTTACTTATTAAACATCAAGTTTTTCATTTGTATAATGAGAAAAATAATATATTTTTAGTGTTATAAAAATTTAATGAGTAGGCATGCATGCAAATGCAAAAAAAATGAATCTGGCAGATAACTGGCATTTATTAATACTGAGTACCCTTTTGTTTTGTTTCAGAGATTTGTGCTAATCAAATCAACTAGCAAAGTATCAAGTTATGATATTAGTAAGCTGATTTGAAATCCTGGCTAAGTTGACTAGTTTCAGCAACTCAATACAGGCTTGAGACAAGAAAAATCATGTAATTTGAGAAAGTTTTGTGTTACAAAAGTCTTGATTTATAGAAGCAGTTTGTGGGTAACAATGCTAAGAAGACAAATTGAGGTAATACTGTGAAGAGCTGTGTATGTCATATTAAGATTTAGTTTTTAAATATATAATAAAATCAATGTTTTTCAATGTAAGCCCATAAACTATTTGTGTTAGAATCATTCTTAGTAGAAATATTGAATCAGAAACCCAGGAATTTTCATTTTGAACAAACAGTTCAAGTAATTCTTACAGACTGTAATGGACAGAACCACTGATTTTAAAAGGTTACAATATTTCAGTTGTGGTAGAAACCCATGCTAACTCTGAATAATCCAACATTTAAGTCTTGTAGCTCATCTAAAATAACAAAGTCACTCTGTTTAATGTACCTGGCTGAGTCACTGCCATCCTATGGGGAAGAGATACAGGATGGAATCCCAGCACAATTAGTAAACAGATTCCACATCTCACGCTAGGTTACCTTCATCCAAATATCTCCCCATGCAGTTGAAGATAGATTAGGTTGTTCAGTTTTGCCCTCATGACCTAATCACCTCCCAAAGGCCCCACCTTAAAAATAACTCAATTTTTAAGATACATCCTCTGAAAACTTGCAGAAGTGTTGCAGCACTCTGTATTTTTCTGTTTCAGGTGGAGTTACTTGTCTGTAACGTCCACTGGGACACTAACTATGTCTATTGTAGTCTCATTGTATCCTCAATGCTTAACATTGTGCTTTTCTCATTGTTGACACAATGTAGATTTATTGTTGAGATATATGAAGATAAGTAAATAGTCATAAAGAAGTATCTATGGACAAAATAATTAGGAATTTGAAAATAGAGAACAATGAGTGCAATGAGAAATACATTTGAAAGACCCTGGAAGATTTTTTGGCTCTTTGACTTAGGGAAGCTACCAGTTTCTCTAATACATTTTTTAACCATTTTTTTCATGTGATATATATTATAAAAATTAAAGATAGTCTCACTTTTACCACTGCCAAAGAGTAGTTGATTCATTCATCAATGCATCTATCCATCTACCAAATCTTTAGTAATCTCCTGAAAATGTGCCTGGCATTAGGATGAGCTTTAGAGCTAAGGAGAAAAATAAGAGAAAATTCTAACCCATCTAATGGTCACAGTATGTTAGAATGCCCCAGATACTTTCATTGAAATACTATGGTAGAGGTAAGTGAAGTAATTTTTCCATGCTTGCTTGCTATTAATTTTTTTGTAAATTCTTTAATCTTAAAATTGGGATAATTTGACGCATTTCTCTTTGGTAAAATATCGATATGGAATTTAGTATAAAATAGGTTTTCAATTAACTTTTCATCAACAAATTGTTGTTCTCAGATAATGAAATACTTTTTATTCTGTTATCTCAGGAGACATAAAAATGACCACATTTTGAATATAGAGGTTCTTGTTGTATCTAAACCATATTCTCTTAAATCGTGATTTTATGCTCTTCTAAATACAGCTGTTTGTTTCAATATATCTTTAATCTAATTTACCTTAGTTTGTGTTATAGTTTGAATATTTTCCCCCTCCAAAACTCACATTGAAGTTTAGTCTCCAATGTGTGTCAGTATTGAGAAGTAGAACCTTCAAGAGGTGATTGGGTCAGAGTCCTCATGAATGAATTAATTCATTCATGAATTAATGTGTTAATGGGTTGTCATAGGTGTGGGACAGGTGGCTTGATAAGAAAAGAAAAAGAAAGCTAGGCACTTACTATGCTCAACCCCCTCACCATGAGATATCCTGCACTGCCTCAGGACCCTTTAGAGAGTCACCAACAGCAAGAAGGCTCTCACAAGATGCAGCCCCTTGACCTGGGACTTCTCATCCTCCATAACTGTAAGAAATAAACTCCCTTTTTAATTAATTATACAGTTCCAGGTATTCTGTTATAAGCAACAGAAAACAGATTAAGACAGTCTGCCAAATAGTTATTGTGCCCTGCTTGTGAGTTAAGTCTCCTCCTCCTCCTCCTCCTTCTTCTTTAGTAATGCAGAGAAGAATTTTATTGAGTAACAGAAGGAAGGCTCTCAGCTGCGAGAAGGGGGCTAAAAGTGGGTAGCCATCTGTGAGACTGAGTCCAGGGTTTTTATGGGCTCAGAATGGGGGAGTGCATGCTAATTGGTCCATGGGTGGGCTTTGGAAAAAGCGCCATTCTACTGGTTAAAAGGCGTCATCCAGAAGGAACCAATCGGAGAGAGAGGGTAAGATGGGGATAGAAGTTCTCACTCTGGTCATGGGCTCTATCCAGATCTGGCAGCTCAGTTTTCAGGCTGTAAACTGTCTTTGGCTTGAAGGTTAGGTTTCACTGGGGACCCATCCCTGTCTGCCTAGGAATTTGTCTGTCTCTTGTTGCTATCAATCTCTTCTCTGAAGAGGTACATCTAGCTGCCATTAGGACAGGGATAGTGACTGCTCTAACTGCTTTATTCTGACAGGGGGGCATTGTTTTGGGAAAACGGCAGTCACGTCTCTCTCAGAGGTCTATCTAAGGGTCCCTGGTAAAAGGGAGCAATTATCCAAGGCTCCATTTGCATGATCATTTGGAGTTTGATGGTCTCTAGGGAAGAATAAATCAATTTTACAATGTGGTTAAGTATGCATGGACCAAATATGGGTATTATACAAAGAGGAGCTAAAAGGAAATAATCTAGTGCCAAAGATAACAGAAATAAGAAGTAAAATAAACTAATCATTCTGAAAACAATGTTGTGGCCAGAGCTGTTTCACCCTTGTGAAAGAAATTTTTTTTTTTTTTTTTTTTTTTTTTTGAGATGAAGTCTCACACTGTCGCCCAGGATGGAGTGCAGTGGCGCAATCTCGGCTCACTGCAAGCTCCGCCTCCCGGGTTCACGCCATTTTCCTGCCTCAGCCTCCTGAGTAGCTGGGACTACAGGTGCCCGCCACCATGCCTGGCTAATTTTTTGTATTTTTAGTAGAGACGAGGTTTCACCATGTTAGCCAGGATGGTCTCGATCTCCTGACCTCATGATCTGCCCACCTCGGCCTCCCAAAGTGCTGGGATTACAGGCGTGAGCCACCATGCATGGCCAGAAATTAAATTTTGTATGGCGGAGGGCAGTTACATTTTAGAAGAGAGATAGCTGTTCAGGGGAGTAGATAATTCCATGGATGTTCAGGATTAAGGGGTTCTTGGCAAAGATGCCTATAGTGAGGAACAGGACAAAGGTGAGAACAGCAAGCATAGGCAAGACTATAAAGAAGATATCCATGGAAGGTTAATTATTGACACTTATCTTTTGTGATTTTTAGCTTGAGGTCTCCGATTTCTTCACATTAGTGCTTCAGGTGCTCTTCTGGGTCAACAGAGGTGATTCTATCAGTTTCCCAGGCCTTTACTAGAATATAATGAATCCAATAATCTGTCAGCAGTGATCGTTACTGCTGACAGAGTAGAAAGAAGTACAGTGTAAGGTCCCTCCCAATTCAGGCCTAGAGAGGGAGAAAGGGAAGGACGTGCCTTTACCAGTACTAAGTCCTCCAGATTGAATAGAGGTGGCCCTAGTTCATGGGGCTTGGGCTCTGACAGTTGTTTCAGTTCCTGTTGGAAATGAGTGAAAAAGTTATATGCTTAATCAAATCAGATGTTTCTTGGTCTAGCAATAAATAATTGATGAGAAAAGGCTGTCCATACATCACTTCAAAGGTACTTAAACCCAGCTTCTAAGGGATGTTTTTAACACATAGTAGGCCTTGGGAGAAAGAGTATCCGGGGAGATGTAATCCAGTGGTGCGATCTTGGCTCACTGCAACCTCTGTCTCCCAAGTTCAAGTGATTCTCCTGTCTCAGCCTCCCGAGTAGCCGGGATTACAGCCGTGTCCACCACACTTGGCTAATATCTTGAGAGAGTTTCCTGAGGTGTCTTTTGATAATATCATTTATCTTCTCTACCTTTCCTGAGGATTGTCGTCTCCAAGCACAATGAAGATGGCATTGTATGAGTGCCTTTGAGACCCCTGGGTGACAGTCATCTTAAATGGGGGGCCATTATCACTCTGGAGGTACTTAGGGAGTCCAACTTATAAATTAGTACTTTTATCACCTTAGAGGCTTTCTCTGCTTCAGATGAAAGTGCTTCTACCCAGTTAATGAAGGTATTTGCCCATACCAGGAGGTACTGGATGCCCCTTATCTTTGACATGTGGGTAAAATCCATCTGCCATTCTTCCCCTGGGTAGCCTCCCATTCTTTGGGTTTTGTAGGGGAGAAGCCATCAATTGAGGGGATTATTTTTAAGGGAAGTCTCACGAACATTAATGACCTGTTTGACCATTTTTGGAGACTTTAGCAGATTTTTACCTGAGAACAACCTTATGGCCAATTGACATATTTTATCCTTCCCTAGGTGGAAGTCTTGGTGAAGGATTTTAAGAACTTTCCATTGGCTGGAAGCTGGTAGATGAAGTTTGCCATCCTCTGATTGAAGCCATCCTGAGGGCTGAAAGGTGTATCCCCGAGAGGTGGCCAATTCTATTTCTACAGGAGAATATTGAGGTTGTATTTCTCCTACAGAGCCCTCCCAAGTTAGAGGAGCCTCAAGTGGATCAGAAAGCTGGTGCCTTCTCTCTGCTGATTTAGCTGCTTGATCCACCAACCTATTTCCTTTTTATAATATATTATTGCCACTTCCCATGGAAGGAAAACTGAGGATAAAAGTGTATTAACTTCCTGATATTCTTTAATGGGAGACCTTTTAGCTGTAAGAAAGTCTCTCTCTTTCCAAATAGTGGCATGGGTATGGAGGACTAGAAGGTATACTTACAATCAGTATAAATGTTAACTGCTTTCCCTTTGCTTAATTGAAGTGCCCTTGTGAGGCAATTCGCTCAGCTAGTTGAGCACTTGTGCCCAAGGAGAGAGGCATACTGTCAACAGTGTCATTCAGGGTGACTACTGCATATGCTGCTTTATGGATCCCTCGTTCTACAAAAGAACTTCTGTCCATAAAGAGAGTCCAGTCTGGGTTCTCTAAAGGGTGGGAGGTGTTGAAGTCCTCTCTGACCTCAGGTTTACACTACTATCTGTTTGCAGTCGAGTTCAAACTCCCCAGCTTCCTCTAGGAGGAAAGTGGCTGGGTTTAGGAAGGGACAGGTTCTTAACTGGATTGCAGATCCCTCCAGTAGCAAAGCTTGATATTTCAGGAGGCAGTTGTCTGTTAGCCAGAGACTCCCTTTAGAAGGCAGCAGTCCTGTCACATTATGTGAGGTATAAATGGTTAAGTTATTCTCATTGTAAAATTAGTAGCCTCTGATACCATCAAGGCTACAGCTGAAACTGCCCAGAGGCAGGCCGTCAATTCTTTAGCTACCAAATCAAGCTCCTTGTTTAGGTAGCCTATGGGCTGATGGGCTGAATCTTGGGCCTGGATCAGAACTCCCAGAGCCATTCCCTTTTTTTCTGATACATAAAGATTGAACATCCTCCGTATAGGAAGACTAAAGGCTGGTGCCTCAAGCAAGGCTCGTTTCAATTGGTCAAAGGCCCTTTTAGCCTCTGGTTGTCAAATTAAGGAGTAAGTCTTAGCTGCCTGGGTTTCCTTTATTAGGTGATATAAGGGACGAGCTATCTTACCATATCCAGGTATTCATAATCTGCAGAATCCTGTAATGCCCAAGAATCCCCTCAGCTGCTTGAGGGATTTGGGGAGGGAAAAAAGGTGAGGATGGGCTTAATCTTTTCTTCACCTAGTGCCATGGTACCCTCTGACGAGATTAGACCTAGGTACTTCACTGAAGTCTGACAGAGCTGAGCCTTCGATTTTTAGACTTTATGTCTTCTGGTAGTCAGGAAATTAAGAAAGCCTTACTGCCTTCCTGAGAGACTTCCTCAGTTGGGGCACAAAGCAGAATGTCATCTACATATTTTAAAACTTTAACCTGAAGATAAAGAAACTCAGAGATATCTTTTGACAATGCCTGCCCAAGCAGGTGGGGGCTCTCTCAGAATCCCTGGGGTAACACCATCCAGGTTAGTTTGGTGGTCTGGTTGGAGGGATCGTCAAATGCAAACAAATATTGGAAGTTGAGGTGTAAGTGTATGTAGAAAAAGGAATCCTTTAGGTCCAGCCCTATTAACCATTTAGTTCCCTCAGGTATTTGAGTTAGCAGGGTATAGAGATTGGGAACCATCAGATAAATTGGAACCACAGCCTCATTAATGAGGTGGAGGTCCTAGACAAGTCTCCATTCTCCACTGGATTTCTCTAACCCTAATATTGGGGTATTACAAGGGCTGTTGCAGGGTTTGAGGAGGCCCTGCCTCCTCAAGTTATCAATGATGGCTTCTAGCTCTTTCCTAACTTCTGTTTTTTTGGGGATATTTTCTCTGGTTAGGGAAGGACATAGGATCCTTAAAGTAGAACTACACCGGTGTGAGTTGTGGCTTGACCACTTTTCCCTAGAGTTTTCCAAACTTCCAGATTAATATCGGCTTCCATCAGGGGGAGAAAAAGAATCTGTCCTGGAGCCATAAGGATGGTGGTTCCCATATGAGCTAAGATATCCTTGCCTATCAGAGGAGTTGGGCTTTCAGACATGATTAACAAGGCGTCAGCAAACAAGAGGTCTCCCCAACTACAACTAAGTGGCTGGGAAAAATACTCTCAATTATTACATAGACAGAAACCACATTGTTCTGAATTATATTACTGATGCCTAAGCCAAGTGCTAATTCTACCCAGTTATATTATCTCTGGTTTGCAGCAACACCTTTAACATTGTATGTATATAAAGAAGAGATAGGAGCCATGACAGCTGCAAAAGAAAGAATGAAAGAAAATGTGAAAGGAAAGACTGGAGGTTCTAGTGCTGACACCATAATGGGCTGTCAGGGACTGGAGTCAGTCCTGGTATCTTTGGGTAACGCCGAAGTGCAGCCTCAGCCAGATACCCTCAACTGCCCCAGAACTTCCTTCTAATCCTAGGCGATGGCTAGGCTGCTGTGAAGGGTAACCAGATTGGAACAAAGCCAACATTTCCAACACCTGAGGGTGATGGAGGATTGACAAAGTCCTCTCTGGCAAGCCTGTCCTCTGAGTCTTGTAGAACTGGTAGCTGCACTATTCACTCTTAACTGGCTGACAGAGGTCTGGTGTCTCATCTGTTTTCAGAAAAAAAAATCTGAGGACAAGAAGCCTCTGCAATGAAAGTGAAAGAGGTCTGCTCTCACCTTTCCAGTGATCCTGGATGAGCCTAATTGCTACAGGATTCCTTCAGTGCCGCTTCACCTGCTGGAAATCTCTCTAGCCACCATGACTTCCATTTGGGACCTTGCTCAGGCCTGCCAAGCTCACTCCACCCGCTCAGCCCAGCAGGCTGTGCTTGGCTTGCACCCTGGCCCAGATCCCATACCTGACCAGGGACTCTGCACTTAGTCTGTGGCTGGACCAAGCATGCCACAAGTCATTTCTGTGTTGGGTGCCGGGGTCTAGACATGGGGAATGCAGTGGTACTTGAAAACCTGGAGATGCCAGCAACTGTGGAGCCCCAAGGGGTGTTACAGCTCTCACACAGGGAGTCTCAAGGTCTGAGCACCCAAGAATGTTTTGGCTTTGTAGTTTGGCAAACCAGCCAAGAGGGAATGGCGCCCAATGGCTTCACTTCTTCGTGCCCGCAGTGAGGCGAATGGGGCCATGTTACAGCTCTCCTTGAACTTGCTGCCAACAGCTCAGTGAACAGGAGCATGTGACAGCTCTCTCTGCACCTGCTGCCCACAGCTCAGTGAACAGGAGTGTGTGACAGCTCTCTCCATACCTGCTGCTCACAGCTCACTGAACGGGAGCGTGTTACAGCCCTCTCCACACTTGCTGTCCACAGCTCAGCAAGTTCTAGGTTCTTGTCCTACGACCTAGAGGAGTAAGGTGTGTGGACACTAGAGAGTGAGTAAGGCAGAGAACAATTTTATTGAGTGACAGAAGGAAAGCTCTCAACTGTGAGGGGGACCTTAAAAATGGTCCCAATTCTTTGGGAAATATTAGTATTTCCCCAAGTCCCATTCTTTGGGAAATACTCAAATAAAAGAGACATAGTCCTTGACCTGAAGCAATTTACAGCCCAATAATAAGGATAAATATAGACACAAATATATAAATCATCTGAGCTGATCTGTGCTGTCTGATGTCAAATATGTCAAATCAGAAAACACTAGCACATATGTTTGTATTTCATTTTCTCATGACTTGGAAGCTACCACAAACATATAATTAAAAAATAATGGAAAATTAATAAAGCAAAACTACTTATAAATGAAGAAGTCCTAATGTCGAAAAATCAATGCCTTCCCATGTTATCATTTTAATTTTGTAATTTCTTTTTATGTTAACCATGATGACTTTACCATTCCCTGCTATCTCAGATTATTTAAGAAATTAGATGAATAAGATCATTTGTTTCTAATTGGTGTTCAAATGCAGGGACTTTAAAAAATATAGGTCTTAGGAAATTTGTCTTTAGTTTATTTCAACATTATAAAACACCAAATAATAGAATTCTGATGTCACAGTATGATTTCATGGAGCCAGAAACTGACTGCTTACCATCTAATATGATGATTTTGCATTGCATTATAAGCATAGTATATGATTCCTTCTTGAAATATGTCTTTGCTATTATATGAATCCGGTATGCTGTGTAACAGTCCTACTCACACCTTCAGGGGACATAGTACTAAGTATTTACTTTCTATGCATCTTTGAGATTTAGTTGAAATACCTTAGGGACATCTTTTCTTTGCTAATCTCCCTCAAGTTTCTGCAGGTCAGCTAGTCTATACATGTATCTGTACAGTTGGCCTGTACCTTGCCAGAATATAAATAGAGTTTGAATTCTAGCAGCTGGAAAAAATTTCAGATAAATAACTTATAATTGTAAGTTGTAATAAATCTAAATAGGAAATAAGATAAGTTGGATGGTGAAAAAAAATAAAGAGAATTATTTTGAAAAGTGCTCATAGAAGGTGATACTTAATCAGAAAAATAGAAGAAGAAAAAAGGCCAGCATTATGAAGTAAAGTGGAGGGAACTTCCCAGGTAGTGACAGCATCAAGGATGTTGACCCCGGTGTAAGGAAAGACATGATCTGTTTGAGGAAGTGGAAGAAGACAAGCGTGGCTAGAATGTAATGCATAAGTGGGCACAGAATACACAGTGTCTATGTGAAGCAAGATGACTTGAGAAACAGATAGGGACCTATGTAAAATGTTTTCACTTTTCTTTTCCTAATTCCAATACTTCTGATTTCCTATTATGAATCAAGAATCCAAGCTCCCCAGGAGAAGAGGAACTCACCTTTCTCTCTTGCAATTATTACTTATATTTACTTTACTGCTTCTCTGTGCCCCCTAAAAGTAGACTTTTAGCCCCACTCCTATATTGACAGTCACTCTTCATGCTAAAGGGAAAGCCTATTATTTATCTATTGCCATGTAACAAATTACCCCAAGATGTAGTGTCTTGAAACAACAATATTAATTTTCTCGCGTCTGTAGTTCAGTAATTCAAGAGTGGCATAACTGGACTTGATGTTTTGGGGTCCTCTCAGGTTGTAATGAAGGTGTTGACTGGGCCTGCTGTCATCACAGAGCTTAACTGAAGAAGAACCAGCTTCCATGACCATTCATATGATTGTTGGAAGTGTTCATTTCCTCATGGGCCATTAACCTGAGGACTTTGTCTCTTTTCTGGCCATTGGCCAAATGTTATCTAAAGTTTCTTGTTACATGGGCCTCTCCATAGGGCAGCTCACGACATGGCAGCATACTTCATCAGAGCAAGCAAATGAGAAGGGTCAGCAAGACAGAGCAAGGGAGCTGATATGGTTTGGCTGTGTCTCCACCCAAATCTCATCTTGAGTAGTAGCTCCCATAATTCCCACTTGTTGTGGGAGGCACCCGGTGGGCAATAATTGAATCATGGGGACAGTTTTCCCCATACTGTTCTCGTGGTAGTGAATAAGTCTCATGAGATTTGATGGTTTTATAAGGGGTTTGCCCTTTTGCTGGGCTCTCATTCTCTATTGGCTGCCACCACGTAAGATGAGCCTTTCACCTTCTGCCATGATTGTGAGGCCTCCCTAGCCATGTGGAACTGCAATTGAATCTCTTTTTCTTTATAAATTACCCAGTCTTGGGTTTGTCTTTATCAGCAGTGTGAAAACAGACTAATACAGAAGCCAAGATGGAAGTCACTTTCTTTTATGACTTAATCTTGGAAGTGATATCTTATCACTTTTGCCATATTCTGTTCATCAGAAACAAGTCACTAGATTGTGCCCACATGCAAAGAGAAGGGATTGTATAGGAACATGAATATCAGAAGGTGGGGTAATGCAGAGTCATTTTAGAAGTCATCTACCTAAAAGTTTCTCAGATGCCTCCAGTATTAGATGTCCGTCACACTTACTTTTAAAATAATTTAAAATGAGTTAGAGACTCGGAAATTACAGAAACCATTAAGACTAACAACATGAACTAGAATTTTATTTGTGTTGGCCACTTATATAGTCACCCTAAGAGGTTAATGGAAAATGTCTTTGTCATTTTTTATCCAGATTTCAAGACATGAAATAAGTATATATATAAATAAGTATATAAAAAATATACTTATTTATATATATATAAAATATATAAATAAGTATCCGTGGCATTGACATAGTAGATTTTTCCTATTAGTTCTATATTTCGTAGAACTAATTTCATAGATTTCATAGATTTCATAGAATCGTGTATTGACAGAACTGGACAAGAAGCAAGAGATTACTCAGAAAAATGTTTATATTCTACAGATGAGAAAAATACATGGTACTCTCACAGAAAAAGCAATTTCTCTCATGGCCTATAATTATTTGAGGCAAAACTAGGACTAGAACCCAGGTCTCTTTAAGTCCCAGTGGCCTTCTCTTCTGATCATATTTAGCACAAGAGTTTCTTGTGCTTAAAAGACCACAATGGACACTGAAATTACAGAGTATTCATTTTTATGGGTGGAGACTGATGAAAAGAGAGGCAAATAAGTGACTTAAAATTCTATGAATAAACTGACTATTTCATTTGCTAACATTGTTATTCTGATATTTTTGATAGAAATTACTTCGGTCAGAATACATTCACATTATTTATTCTAAGAAATGCATTAAAGTAAAATGAAAATGTGTGGGCCCTTAAGCAGAAATAATGAACTAATTTGGTCTCTGCATAAGGAAAGTTAGTGCAAATTCTCAAGGTTACTCTCACACAGACTTTGGTATTTTTTCACTTAGTGCAGAAGATTTCTATATGAAGGACTAGTGATAAATCTGTAGCAAAATTCACGCATAAACACACACACACGTGCATGTACATATGCATACATGTACACACACTTTGAGGGTAGCTAAAATCACAATTCTAAATTGTGTTGCTCATAACAGAGATACACATCCCAAATGGATAATTTTCATCACTTAAAAGTGATACTCAACAATTCATTTCTGAAATCTTAAACTGGTCCTTTCATAAGGTGAAGATAAGAGAAGCAAAATTATGTGAAAAGGGCTCAGGAAAGGGTACAAACATGGATGTATGTCAGCACATCCATTCGAGTAATCATTTTCTAAAGCTCCTTAACCTGACTCTTGGTGAATGATGGTCATACAGTATTAAACTTTAAAGCAGGTAGAGATCTGTTTATCATTGAGCAAGGGATTTGGAGTGACAATTCAATATATAGTGTTATACTTTATTTATAATTCACAAATGGCTTTGAAATTTTGACTTTACCCTTTCTCCTAGATCCTGTCAGTTTCCATTACAGTTGATGTCTAAAGAACAGACTAGGTTCATCAGTAAAAATAATATTTTGCTACAACTAGCTTTGATGATGTCACCAGCTTATCTGATGACTGCAATGTGCCTCTTAACTTCCAAAGGTGAAATCAAAGAGCTCTGTCTTGTCTTTTCATTTTAATGATACTGCCACTTCAAAACTTTGGACTAGCTCCTTATCCATATTTTTTTTTTTATCTTTTAACCCCAAACCTCTAAATTTTGGACATCTTACCTGGGCCAATTTCATATATGCTACACTGAGTTTTGGGAAGATGGGGGAAGCAGTTTACCATGGTAAGGGTCCTGGCAGGAAACAGAAGGCATGATCAAGAGAAACAACCAAGAGAGTTGAATGAAGAAAGTATATGTAAAAACATAGGCAGGGTTACTGAAAACCAACAGAATGATCAAGCACACATGTGCAAGCAGCAGGAAATGGCTGTCAGCACTTACAGTTCTGAAGCAGCAGGGAGAGGAATCATGTTATGCATTGAATTATGCCCCTGCAAAAAAAAAGAAAAAAAGATATGTAGAAGACCTAATCACCAGTAGCTGAGAATGTGACTCAGAATGAAATAGGGTCATTGCAGTTGTACTTAGTTAAGATTAGGTCGTATGGGACTAGGATGACCAGTGCCTTTGTAAAAACGGCCATGTAAAGACAAAGAGACACAGAGATGAAGACACAGGAAGAACACCACATGTTAGTGGAGGCAGAGATTGCAACAAAGCATTTACAAACCAAGGAATAACCTGCAATGCCTGTAGCTACCAGAAACTGAAAGAGGCAAGAAAGGTTTCCTGTTTGTGGCTTCAAAGGGTACACAGCCCTTCTGATACCTTGATTTCAGACTTCAAGCTTCCAGAACTGTTGTTGTTTTGCAAACCTCTAAATTTTGGACATTTTAACTCTAAGCAAATTTTATATACAAATGCAGACCTCGCTTTTCCATCACATTAAACAAAGAAATTAATGTTGGAGCAACAGGAATGGAATTACGTGCCAGGGTGAGGGAATTTCACTTCGGCTTTTGTGGTTCAGCCCAGCAGTCTTTGTTCTTCTTTTCTTCCTTCTGACCCAGAATCTTCTCAGCAGTTTTCTGAGCACAGTTATGTCACCTATCATCATTGTAGATTTTCTGTATCTCATTCTGGCCCCAAGTGGCTGTGCATTGAACTTAGTTTCACCAGTTTCCTCTTTCTTGCTGGTCTCAAAGGAAAACCTGTGTGTTACTTTCCTGCTACTCTCCCCCTTCTTTGTTATAATGGGAAAACTGAGAACGACAAAAACACGCTTGGGAAAATTCATTATAAAATCTAAAATGTGACATGTTACAAAGTTCATCAAGTACTGGTTCCTGGCATATAATTGCCAAATCTATTCTTAGAACATTCTAGTATGATACTATTGTCTGCTGTTAATTCTGAAGCTGGCACCTACCCAGCCTCCGTCATCACTTTACCCTTACCCAGATGAGTGCCTAATGGATCCAACCTTCATGTGTCATCCTTCTGTTCAGGCCAAAGAGAAAGATGAAAATAATCCAGATCACAAATCAAAAGTACGAGCTTTTGAGACACTCAGGATTTTCTGAGTCTATTATGGGGACAGGGGTCATTTTTGGCATGTCATAAAAGAGGAAGTCCCTGGATTTTGGGAGTACTGAGGACACTCAAAGTATTTTTGGTAAATTTATTCTTAAAATATTTTTTAAATGATTTTAAGCAATAAATAATGAGAAGACTATGACATTTCCACCAATAATAATCCACACACAATCTAACAAAAGACAAGAGCAAAGCCAGGGATACTAAAGATCAACAGGACCCACATACCACAAGAAGACAGAAATATTTACTTATTTTAGCAAAGTGTGACTGACAACAGCCATCAAGTCTGTGGGGGGATTTATAAGTTCATTTTAGAACCACACTGGAATATTTGGTAGCTTGGAGTGCATGATAACGAACTTGAGGTATAGAAGAGAGAGAAGGGGATCTTAATAGTTCTCACATCAATGTGTGAGTGCATTCTTAAATTTTCTTTCATTACCTCATACATCTGCCCTGGATTTACTGCCCCACCTCAGTCTTCTGAAAAACTGATGACTTCAAGATTCCTGTTACTGGTCAAATTTTGGCAGCTCTTCTCACAATATTGATTTTGAAAGGCTTACTTCTGTCAGAGTGTGCCCCTGTTTCAAATGCACAAAGTAGGCAGTCAGATCTAATGCAGAAATATACAAGAAAGTACACGGAAAACAAAAGGAATGTATATTTTTAGCTTTTGCCAATGTCTGTGTTTCCCTTTCCCTCTAGGCTGAAGGAACTAATTTAAGGCCCCTTCGTGGATAATATATGATAAAATAAAGCCAACAGCAAAAAGAAAAGTTCACAACAAGAATATGGTATAATAAAAATAAAGCCAATTACATAACTACAAGAAAGGGCATAAATATGCCAATTTAAGCAGTAACCAGTGTGAGTAATGTATAACTTCAATAGCCTAACAAAAATAAGACAAAATCGATATGGCAGAACTCAACATATATTATAAAAATAATCAGATTTTATTACTAACCCTAATAACTACTATATATTTATTTGGAATGGTGGTGTATTGTGTTTAATAAAATATCAGAGATTTCTTGGGTTTTATGAAGCATTTCATCATGTTAACATTACATCCCTTTCACATAATTTGAAATAATTACCAAATATTTCCAAACTACATTTGTGTAAATAAATCAATCAGCTTTGTGAGGCTAAAAGCCTTGCCAGATCTTCTCCCACTTTTGAAGTGTTAACGTTCTAATTTATTAATTCATTAGAAAAAATATCTTAGAACATGAAAGGTGAAACACAGTTTTGCCATCCATTTGATGACTGCATTCTATCCATCTACTTGAAAAGCATTCCACCACATGGCTATTTTTTCTTTTCTTTGACTACTAATCACACTTTAGGGCAGATTTATTCCTTATCATCTGAATTACTTTGATAAACTCATAATTTATTGTGTTCAGGAACTAGCTACTAACGCTACTAAAATGCAGGCTTTACATGGTTACCAGATTTATTTTTGACTGTCTCATTTATTTTTCAAACATCATAAAAAAACTCACTCGCTGGAAAAATGGCATCTAATCTCCTTAAAATGGAGTCAATCACGCCTGTAATCCTAACACTTTGGGAGGCCGAGACAGGTCGAATGCCTGAGATCAGGAGTTCGAGACCCGCCTGGGCAACATGGTGAAACTCCATCTCTACTAAAATACAAAAAATTAGCTGGGCATGGCAGCATGCGCCTGTAGTCCCAACTACTGGGGAGGCAGGAGAATTGCTTGAACCCGGGAGGCAGAGGTTGCAGTGAGCCGGGATAGCGCCACTGGGCACTGGACGACAGAGTGCGACTCCATCTCCAAAAAAAATTAAAAAAGGAGTCAAAAATAGAATATGATGCTGGTTTCTAATGCCATTAAGATTTTTATAATCACCTTAGCAAATTCTCAGTTAAGGCCAAACACTTGTGACAAGACTCGCCAGTGCTGTGTCAAAATTCTGGACCTGCCATCAGTTGCGGTACAACCTTGTCAGATACCTCCATTTCATTTATAAAGTGTAGAAAATCATTCCTGTTTTTTTTTTTAACTTGTAAAGATTAAATGAGACAAACATGGTAAGTGCCCAACAAATGTTAGTTCCTGTTGATATTGTTCAATCATTATTCTCTCCAGGTTTCTACTAATGAGGTTTTATCCAGTTTCAACTTCTTCTTATCCTTCTTCCTGTTACAATCTTAGATACTATTTAAGACCCAGATCTGGTTCTCTCTGCTCGAAGCAGAGTACCCCAGGATAAGCACTCTACATTTATTCTTTGATTTTTTCCAGAATTGCGTTCATGCTAGTGATTCCCAAAGATGCCTTTGAAGCAGGAGCTCTTAAGGATGTGATTAACTTTTCTTAACACAGCTTTGTGTTGCTCCACTTGTTATAAAGAGGTACTATGTGGGGATTAAAGAAGTATATGTAAATAAAGTATGTATATTATCTGTGAGAAGGGCAAAAGAGACTACCTTCCAAATCTGTTCTGAAGGATAAAAAAAGAAAACAAGTTCTATGAAGTGGCAGTCTGCCTGCTAGGCTGCCATGACCTGAATGTCTTTGTCTCTCCTACAATTAATATGTTCAAATATGAACCCCCAATGTGATTAGGAAGTGGGGACTTTGGGGTGATTAGATCATGAGAATGGAGCCCTCGTGAATGGGACTGATAAGTATTCATAAAATAACTACTGCAGAAATAATTTGTTAAAATTTATGGACTTCAATGGCATTCTCTGTATATCTTTTTTGTCATTCTTCTGTTAGCTAAAATTGACTTGAGAGATATAGGTCCATTATGCCAAGTGATGCTTTTAAAAGGTTGTCATTGGAAGATCCACTCCTTTATTTTTAGTTGCGTCCAGGAAACCACTTCATATGTTTTAAACTTTCTTTCATTTCCCACTTTGTCATATTATCAGAGATAATTTAATAGTAGATCTCATGTACTTAATTCCACCATGTGCCTTTATAAGAGGCCCTAGAGCTCCTTTGCCCCTTCTGCCATGTGAGGACACAGTGAAACAGTGCTCTCTAGGAAAAGCGGGCTCTCACTAGACACATAATCTATCAGAATCTTGATCCTGGACTTCCCAGCCTCCAGAACCGTAGTAAATAAATGTTCATCACCTACCCACTTTGTGGTATTTTCTTACAGCAACTTCAATAGGTGAAGACAGGCTCATAGTTAGTGCTCAGAAAACATCAGTTTTCTTTTTTGTCTCTGTTCACAACGATCATTTCTTAAACCTTCAAATCTTTATGAATTTGCTGTTTCTTCAGCTATCTATTGTGTGGTAAATTTGTCTTGAACAAAACAAAAAGTCTGTAAGTGATACCGTAGAGACACTTAACCTCCATTGCCAGCAGGGCTGTCTATTGAGTTCAGTGTGAAAGCTGACACTTCTTTTTGCGATTTTCTGTTACAGACTGTCTCTCAACCTAGAGACATTAGAAAATGATGGATTTTAAATTCTCCCTCACAGAAACCAGGATTATGTGTTGCACATCCGTCATTCACAAAATATTAGTGCTCAATGGTGGAATTAAGTACTTGGGATCTGCTATTAAATTATATCTGATAATATGAAAAGTAAAGTGTGGAATGGAATAAAGTTTAAAACATATGAAGTGGTCTCTGGATGCAACTAAAAATAAAGGAGTGGATCACCCAATGACAACTTTTTAAAAGGATCACTTGCTATAATGGGCCTCTATCTATCATGTTAATTTTAGCTTACAGAAGAATGATCAAAAAGATATGCAGAGAATGCGATCAAAGTCCATAAAATTTTATAAATTATTTCTGCCATAGTTATTTTATGAAAAATAAGTGACTCATATATTTTAACAGGTTGAAAAATATCTATGGCTTATTTCACCTTGTAAAAACAGTCTGAATAAAAGGTTTTATACCAGATCAAACCTAGATGTTTCTTTGTCAACAAATTATTTGTGTATGTGCATATGTGTGGAGAAAATGATAGTTTACAACCTAATGTCACAAAATTTAAACTTGTCATCATTATTACCAACAGTTGTTATTTCCCATCCCTCAATAAATCCTTCAAATCAAACAAAATAGGCATGGATCTTTGTGAAGGTCACCATCCATCTTTGAACTTTATTTCCTCAATTATGCTTATTATAACTGATTTTATTCTACTTGAATCTAGAATTCTTATTCTAGTGTTCTGTGTGTGTGAACATGTGTGTACTTGAAGAGGAGGGAATGAGGGGTGACAAGTAGAAGAGATCATAGGGTTGATTGGATATGAGCCTGATACGGTTTGGCTCTGTGTCCCCACCCAAACCTCATCTTATAGCTCCCATAATTCCCACATGTTGTGGAAGGGACACAGTGGAAGATAATTGAATCATGGGGCATGTATTTCCTGTGCTGCTTTTGTGGTAGTGAATAAGTCTCACAAGATCTGATGGTTTTAAAATGGGGAGTTTCCCCATACAAGCTCTCTTCTCTTGTCTGCTGCCATGAGACATGCCTTTTGCCTTCTGCCATGATTGTGAAGCCTGCCCAGCCACATGGAACTGGAAGTCCAATAAACTTCTTTCTTTTGTAAATTGCCCAGTCTTACATATGTCTTTATCAGCAGCATGAGAACAGACTAATACATGGTCTCATCCAGTAAATCACTTGAGAGATTGGCTAATGAGTCGTATCTTTATCATTATATTAGTTATGCTGGCCTTGAGATAAACAGTGTCTTTCTATATCCACAGCCTTCTATTTTCATTATCCAAATTGAGGAACAAATTTGTGATATGATTTCTCAAAAGCCTATCCTCTTCCAATTGCAGAAGATTATAGGAGAAAACGAAGAGTTAACTGTTATCCCAGGGGACATGGTGACTTACTATTATATAATTCAGATTAAGTCTTTATATTCAATCAAGGAACCTAATTAGGTGCATTGTTGAGGTCAAATATATTAAATGCATCTGGCAAAATGTTACTAAGTCAAAATTTATGGCTGTTGAAGTTGGAATTTTTTATATGAAAGAAATGGAATAGATAGAGGAGTTATACTTCCTGGAATATGGGGTAGACATACATTTTTCTATTTTTCCTACTGAGTGCAACTAACAATTCTGGATGTTATATATGGAAAAAATATAATAATACTCTGAAAGGTGGAGACAACAAAGCCAGACCAGCTAGCAACTATGGGATGCGCATAATGACATAGTGATGAATTCAATGGATTTTAATTTGCTACATGTATCCAAGATTTGGAGCTAAGAGGCCAGTAATCAAAATGTCAACAGGTGGACATGGGAAAAAAACCCTCCACAAAACCTGGTTCTCTGTCCAAAGGAAAAACAATATCAGGAGAAGATGCTGGGAATAAGAAAAAAAGCATTAAGAAAATAATTACTCTATTCCAGCCAAAGAACAAAGAAAATTTTGCATCCCTTATCTTCACCCATTACAAATAAATAAATAAATATCCAGTGGAAAGCCAAGAGTTTCAATTTCTTCAGGATCTAATAAAGTTGTCCCACCCACCCAATAGGTGGTGTCACAAATGGCCAGGTAGAGAGTCAGGGCTTGCATCCCCACTGGACAGTAATGAGGAATTCAAATAGAGGAAACAAGAATTAAACAAATAAAAAAATAGAAAGTCTGAACAAAAAAGTAGAAGATATAAAGAAGGTCTCTCTGAGCCTACGCTGGCTTTGGAGGCTGCCTGATAAATAAATAAATAAATAGAAATAAAGAAAAATCAAATGGAAATTTTAAAACAGTAAAGTATAATAATCAAAATTTTAAAAACTCTATGAATGAGTTTAAAGGGAGAATGAAAAGGACAGAGGAAAGATTCAGTGAAGCTGAAGATTAAACAGTAGAAATTACAAACTATAAACAATAGAGAGGCTATAGACTAAAAAAAAAATAGAAAATCATCAGTGACCTAAAGGGCGATAGTATGAGGTTGAACATGCTTGTCATTGTAGTCACAGAAAAAGAGAATAAGAAGGATGGGACTGAAAAAGTATTCAAAGAAATAATGTACGAAAGTTCCTAAATTTGGCAAAAAACACAAACCTAAAGAATCTGGCCAAAATAGTATAAATAAAAAGAAATCCACACCCAGAAACATTCCAGTCAAACTCCTGAACAATAGAAAAAAAAATCATGAAAGCAACAAGAGACACGTAAGACCTTAACTATGTGGGAAAACAATTTAAATGATGGATAATCTTTTAGCAGAAAAAAAAGTAAAAAAAAAAACAGAAAGAAGAGGCACAACATTTTTCAAGCACTTATAGAAGATAACTGTTTATCCAAAAGCCTATATCCAGCAAGACTATCCTTCAGAAATAGAGGAATTCAAGACATTAGCAGATGCAGGAAAACTAGGAGCATTCGGCTCAGCAGATGGACACTAAAAGAATGGATAAAGAAAGTTATCTAAACAGATGGAGATAAACAAAGAAAGAACCTTAAAACAATCAAAAAGAAGGAAAGAACTCAATACGCAAAATGATTCTGTTAATACACAGATATTTATTCTCCTCTTGACTTTCTTAAATTATGTTTGAGAGTTGAAGCAAAAAATGTAACTCTCTGGATGTGGAGAAATAGGAACACTTTTACGGTGGGACTGTAAACTAGTTCAACCATTGCAGAAGACAGTGTGGCAATTCCTCAAGAATCTAGAACTAGAAATACCATTTGACCCAGCCATCCCATTGCTGGGTATATACCCAAAGGATTATAAATCATGCTGCTATAAAGACACATGCACACGTATGTTTATTACAGCACTATTCACAATAGCAAAGACTTGGAACCAACCTAAATGTTCATCAATGATAGACTGGATTAAGAAAATATGGCACATATACACCATGGAATACTATGCAGCCATAAAAAAGGATGAGTTCATGTCCTTTGTAGGGACATGGATGAAGCTGGAAACCATCATTCTCAGCAAACTATTGCAAGGACAAAAAACGAAACACCACATGTTCTCACTCATAGGTGGGAATTGAACAATGAGAACACCTGGACACAGGGTGGGGAACATCACACACCAGGAGCTGTTGTGAGGTGGAGGAGGGGGAAGGGATAGCATTAGGATATATACCTAATGTAAATAACGAGTTAATGGGTGCAGCACACCAACATGGCACATGTATACATATGTAACAAACCTGCACATTGTGCACATGTACCCTAGAACTTAAAGTATAATAAAAATAAATAAATAAATAAAATAAACCCAAAAAAAAGTAACACTCTCTGGCATGGTTCTAAATGTATGTAGAGAAAATGTTTAAGAAAATTACACTATAAATGGGAGATAATAAAGAAACATAAAAGGAGGTAAAGTTTGTATACTTCACTTAAACTGGTAAAATGATAACACCAGTAAGCTGTGGTAAGATGTGTGTGTGTGTGTGTGTGTGTGTGTGTGTGTGTAATGTAGTACCTTCGGCAACCATTTAGAAAGCTATGCAAATAGAGAAGCTCATAAACAGCATAAAAAGATTAAAATGCATTTATAAAAATTGTCCAAAAATCCCACAAGAAAGCAGGCAAGAGAAAACAGAAAAATTAAAAGCAGAGAAAACGAATATAATCCAAAAATAAAACTGGCAGCTTCAAGCCCTTATAAATCAATAACTAGATTAAGTAAGAATGGTCCAAATATACCAATTAAAAGACAAAGATTGGCAGAGTGGATTAAAATACAAACCCAACTACCTGCTGTGTGTTCTGTGTACAAAAAACTTAGTTTATATATAATATTAATAATATTGGTAGTTTGAAAGTAAAAGGATGGAAAGAGATATGTCATGCAAATACTAACCAAAGGAAAATAGAAGTGGCTATATTGACATTTGTAAGGTAAACTTCAGAGCAGACAATTACCAGAGATAGAAAGTAGCATTCTATAATAATAAATGGATTAATTCAACAAAAATCGTAACAGTCTTAAATATGTATGCACCAAACGACACAGCAGAAAATAGGCAAAATTAATAGAACTGAGAGAAGAAGTAAAGAAATTCACAAAGTTAGTTTGAGATTTCAACAGCCCTAACTCAATAACTAATAAAACTAGACAGAAAAGTAGCAAAGTTGCATAAAAACTCAGTATCATCAACCAACAGAATCTAATGAGCACTTATATAACACTCCAGTCAACCACAGAATACACATTCTTCTCAAATTCCCAGAGAACTAATGTTGAGGTCAAACATATTATGGACCATGAAACAAATCATGACAAATTTAAAATAATTAAAATCATACAGCATATGTTCTCTGATCACAATGTAATCAAACTACACATTAATAATATAATGATGACAGAAACATATCAAAACACTTGGAAACGGCATAATAAAATTTTAAATAATTCTTAGGTAAAAGAGGAAGTCTTATAAAATTTAAAAATATATTGAACTGAGTGAATATGAAAATAAAACATAATAAAATGTGTGAGACACAGTTTAAGCACTGCTAAGAGGGAAATATAGAGCCCTAAATTCAAACCTTAAAATAAAGGAAAAGTCTCAATTTTATAATCTAGCTCACACTTTTCAACTCAATAAAAAATGAGCAAATAAACCCAAAAGAAAACAGGAGAAAAAATGTAATAAAAATAATATATCAAATTAATGATATTGAAAGCAGTAAAAACATTTTAACAATTAATGAATTTAAAAAAAAATTTTTAAAAATAACAAAACCAACAAATCTCTAAGTCTGATTAAAAAGAGAGAAAAGATATAAGTTGCCAATATCTGGAATAACAAGGGCTATCATGTATGATTTTGCAGACCACAAAAGAATAATAAGGAATACTCAGAACTCTACACACATAAATTTAATAACTTGGATGAACTGGAGCAATTTCTAAAAACAAAAACTACCATAACTTACCCAATATAAAATAGATAATTTGAATGGTCCTAAAACTATTAAGGAAATTAAATTTAAAATTAAAATCTCTCAGAATAAAAATCTTCAAATTGAGATGGCTTTAATGGAGAACGCTAACACACATTACAGAAAAATTTACAATTCTACACAGTATCTTCCAAATAATAGAAGAGAATGATGTCAAAATTATTTTATGAAGCTGTACCTCTGAAAATAAATCCAGACAAAAATAACAACAACAAAAAAAGAAATTATAAGGCCAGGCACTGTGGCTCACGCCTGTAATCCCAGCACTTTGTGAGGCTGAGGTGGGTGGATCACCTGAAGTCAGGAGTTCAAGGCCAGCCTTGCCAACAGCCTGGAACAGAAAACCAAGTATCATATGTTCTCACTTATAAGTGGGAGCTAAACATTGAGTGACATAGGGACACAAAGACAAGAACAATAGACATCAGAGATTACTAGGGGGGAAGGTGGAAGAGTGGCAATCAGTTGAAAATTAACTCTCAGATATGGTGCTCACTACCTGGGTGATGGGATCATTCACACCAGATTCTGGTGACACATAATTTATCCATGTAACAAACCTGTGCATGTACCCCATGAACCTAAAATAAAAGTCTAAATAAATAAAAAAACAAATAGTTGGCACACACACAAAAATCCTGGCACCTCCCGTCTCTTGCTTCCTCTCTGAAAATGTAATCTCCACACATGCCAGCTCCCCTTTACCTTCCTGCATCAGCAGAAGCAGCCTGAGGCACTCGCCAAAGCAGATGTTGGTGCCATGCTTCTTGTACATCTGGCTGAACTGTGAGCAAAATAAACCTCTTTTCTTTGTAAATTATCCAGCCTCAGGTATTTCTCTGTAGCAACCCAAATGGACTAAGACATTTGCCTAAAGTCCAGATCTGCCAAAGTGAAAAACAATGACCTCTGGTTCCTTCCCCAAGTTTTCATTAACTGAACTCATATTGCAGGAAGAAAAACTGAAGTCTGTTGACACATTTGAACAGACTTGTCACAAACGGTTTTCTGCTTTGCCCGAAAGACTTTTTCTGAAGTCATTATGTATTCTTCAAGCCCACTGGATTCCCCTAAAAATTATTTATTACCTGCTGAAATTGTCCACACTCCCATATCTCTTTTCCTTAAGAAGGGTATATAAATATCTATACCCTATTACATTGTATAGTAATCACTCTGATTTTCCGCTCATGCACATTAACAAATATTAATGTCTTATTTCCTATTAATCTGCCTTTTGTCCATTGATTTTCAGTAAACCTTCATAAGGTAAAGGGTAAGTTTTCCTTTGGCTGCTGCATGCTCATTGTTTGCTAGTGAGAATACAAAATGTTACATCCACTTCAGAGGGCAGTTTGGAAGTTCCTTACAAAGATAATCACAGTCTTACCATAAGTTACAGTGATTGTGCTTCTCAGGTGTCTCATGGACAGAAGCCAATAGCTTGAAAACCTATGATAACACAAGTATTTATACTTGTTTTATTTATAAATGCCAGAAATGGGAAATAACCAAGATGTAATCCAGTAGATGAATGGATAAACAAACTATGGCACATTTATACAATGGAATATTATTCAGCAATGAAAATAAGTGAGCCATCAAGCCATGATAAAGCATGGAGGATCATTAAATGCATGTTGTTAAAGAAAAACAGTCTAAAATGTTATACAATATATGATCTCAACTTATATAACATTTTGAAAACTATGGAGACAGTAAAACTATCAATGGTCATCAGGGATTTGGTGGAAGGAAGTGAAGGAAGAATAGATGAAGCACAGGGCATTTTAAGGAGAATGATGAAACTGTATCATATGATGCTGTAATGGTGGATACCTGTAATTATTCATTTGTCAAAATTTATAGAATGTACAACACTAAAAACAAATTGCTGTAAATAATGAACTTCAGTTAATACTAATGTATCAATATTGCTCAATTTTAACAAAAGTACCACATTATTGAAATATGTTAGTAATGGGGGAAAGTACTATAAGAAAGAGTATATGAGAACTCTCTGTACTATCTGCTTTTTTCTTCGAACTGCTCCCAAAATTAAATATTATGAATTAAAATAAAATGCAAGTCACATTAGTTAGTTTGCATTCCTGAGAAGCAAAGAGTAAAATGTAGCAGAGTTTCAGGGTAAATCTTCCATGTGGTCAGAACTAGACTGCAGTAAAGAAGAATCAATACAATGCAAGAGAGGAGATGGGGGAGCTGGATTTCAAAGTAAAGATATTGAATACTTGTCAGGGGAGCTCTGTTACTTTGCTGATTTGTAGCAAAAGATAACATAAATGGAGAAGTCCTCCTTGTTTCAGATATTAACTAAAAGTTAATTAACTTCTCTGACTAGCTCATAAACAATGACCTACACCTAAGCAATTGATTTAAGGACTTGGAAGAAAAAACGACTATATATACTGTTGGTACAATTTATAGAAGACTTGGATGATAGTGAGCAAACTTAGAGGGTAGTATCATGTTCTCTATGAGGCCTTTTAAAAAAGTCACTTAAAGTGACTTAGGCTTCAGAGTAAAATACAAGGTTATGAATATAATGTATGTATTTTCTGCAAATGTTTCACCTCTAAAGATTTTTTAAATTATTATATTAGACACATAATTGTACATATTTATGGGGTACTGTGTGATATTTAGATACATGATTCCAATATGTAATGATCAAATTAGGATAATTAGCCTATCCATCACCTTGAACATTGATCTTTTTTTTTTGTTTTGAACATTCAAATTACTAAAGATCTTTTTTATTAACCCGTTTTAGCTTTGTCTAGCAAATGAATTGCATTTTAAATCAATGTCTATTATTGTCTAGTCATTTTTTTAAAAGCATGTACCTATATCATTCAGAACATTTAATTACTATGATATAGCTAACCGGGGTTTTCATATTAAATTGATAACATTTCTTTTCTAAAACATGAAAGATGCTATTTTATTTAACCCATGTAAGTTTATTGAGATTTTCCCCCAGGCTTTTAAAAACACTGACAATTTGTCCATAGAATTGCATTTACTTTATTGGATTTTGATGAAGATGAATGAATAGCAAGAAACTTTGCAAACAGTTTAACACAGTCACTGAAAGCAATAGGAATTTTATACGTTGAGAATTTTGCTGGCAACATCATCATTGGTGGTACCACCACCATCGTCCTCCTCCTTATCATCATCATTTGTTATTTTCCTTTAGTTGTGTTCCATGCACACCCAGACACAGAGCAAATTTCATATAACTACATACGTTGCTTTGTTTCTCCTGAAACAGTATCACCCTTCCTTTTACACTTAGTTGATGTGTACCATTTCAAGTCTAAGCTAACAGCCACCACCTTTGAAAGATGTAACTTTGATCATCCTGAATACTCCTAGAGCACTCCAAGTTTTTCTTTCTCATATATTTCAATTATTTAATTCAATAAATATGTGCGACTACTGTTAAGCTTTTTCTTGGTACTGAAACAACAGGGATACAATTATGATCATATATGTGCTTTTGAGAATTCATGGTCAGCATTAATCTCATGCACTTGAGTAATTTGTTGGTCTCCAAATTATCTGTTCTCCTAACTGGAATAAATGTTCAGTTTTAGACTAGAACATGGCTTTTAGTCCTTTAGCTCTCTCTCTCCCTCTTCTCCTGCATTTACTATTTAGTAGATCCTCAGAAATGCTTGCTTATTAACAGAGAAATGAAAGACATGCTATTGTCTTTCCTTTGTAAATGCACCTTCCCTTAAATAAAGAGAAAACACTGTGTCAGATCACCCTATGCGTCTCCCTTATGTATCTGTTCTAGAAAGTAATATCCTGTGTATCATCCTAGGATGAATGTTTTCCCTCAACACCTCACTAAAGAGGCATCTGCCATTTGTTTCTATTTCCTCTGTTTTTGCTATTATAAGAACAAACTATGGAGTCTGCATGAGATTTAGCAGGGTTTCCTTGTCCAACTTTTGATTGTGAAATGCAGTTTTCGTCTCCAGACTTGCCTTGTCTGATTTCCTCCTGTATATTTTCCTCTTGGCTTTTTAAATTAAAGTGCTAGTCCCTGGGGTTGTGTCTCGTGCCTGAAGCTGTCATCCTGTCCAAAGATAACAACACTGTATTTACCATTACAAAAAAAGAGAAAATAGCATTAGAATGAAATAATGTTTGACCTGTTAGTCTCTTTTCATTATAAAATAATAAACTTTAACCAATAGATTGTACCAGAGATTTTAGAGTTTTTAACCCATTTCCACATTTATGCTTTCAATTCACTTTGCAGGGGTTTCAAGAATAAAAGGACATTTTAATCAACACAAATAGATTAACTCTTGGTTAAAATGGAAGTTTCAGGCTGACCCAAAAAGGTATCTGCCTATGTTTGGATTTATATGTGTTAAGAGAAAGAGTTAAACAAATAAAAAACGTAAAAAGCAGACTACAAAAATGAATCTGTTTTATTTTTGAACTCTGTTTTATTAAAGCTCTAATATGTATAATTAAAGGGCATAGTTTATGAACTGTGACAATATATAGAAACTAATCATAATTGTAGACTCTCAGAGGGTAAAAATCTAAGTGAATACCTATTTATAGAAAATAAGATTCTATGAATTACATCTCTTTTTCTTAATTGGATGCAGAGTGTGCTATACATATTTAGAATTATTTCACTTGCAAACAAAGTACCAAATACATTTTTACATGTAGTCATTTGATATCTGCATGCTTCTTTTGTTTAATTTCATATTCTAAATATTCTGGATGCATAACTAGCCACATTGTCAAATGACAGGCTTAGAAGATGGAGCTATAATCTCTATTACACATTAGAATGATAATGTCTAAGGATGTATTTTACAATTGAGATAATAAAAGAATAGAGAGATATGAAGAACTCGGCTAATTAAGAAGAAAGAAAACTCATGGATGACTTCAAGGATATTAATCTGTCTTTCACAAACCAGGGAAATATTTAGAAAATAATACATTAACTTGTCTCTGAAATCACTCTCACCTCGTTATGTCTCAACTCTAATGAAGGTCAATATGGTGTGGTTAATTTTAATAATAGTCAGAGTACTGTGAACTTAGAATTCAGGATGACAAAATCAGGACTTGAGAATGAAACATTTTAGTATTGATGAGTATTAATTCGTATGCAGGGACAAAAAAAATCCTGGAATATTCTAGGCAAAGACAAATGGTTACACCAGGCTACTGTGCTAGCTAGCAAAAATAAAAGGTATCTCTACAATTAGCAATAAATTAGCATTGCCAGAAACTACCTACCATTATGCAAGTGAAGCCTCTTTAATGGGCACAATTTCAGTTGTTTGCCTCCACATATAATATCAAGCAAAAATACCTGGATATTATCATCATTGGCTAACAATAGGACTTCACAAAATATACAGCAAAAAGTGACCTTGATCATGAAGAGTAAGCAGTGTATGTTTATGTGTGTGTGTGTGTGTGTGTGTGTGTGTGTGTGTATGCATGTGTTCTATGACACCTGAGTTGGAGAAGAGTGAAAATTATTTCTCCAACCCTAATTAGTTAATTAAAAAATATGGAAACTCATAGCTATTTTCCCCAGTTTTACCAGAATAGAACCAGCCTTAAAGACGTTAGACCATTTAAGCTGACTAATTGAAACCTAACAATATCACAATCATGACTACCACTATATTGAATAATATGACTTATGCTACAGTTCTATATTTTCAGGGTGTAATGATGCTTCTGGTCATATGACACATTAGTCAACACAATGCTGTATCCCACAGAATTCTTTATTTCATAAGATCGTCATGTTGAAAGTGGCAGGTAAAAGGAAGCCATGAGATACCACAACTGAGCTGGTATTATAAACTTTGGCTTTGAAAGTAGAGACCAGGTTTTCAGTTCTGACTTTGCTTATTTATTTATTTATTTATTTATTTGATGGAGTCTCACTCTGTTGCCCAGGCTAGAACGCAGTGGTGCAATCTCGGCTCACTGCAACCTCCACCTGCAGGGTTCAAGCAATTCTCCCTGCCTCAGCCTCCTGAGTAGCTGGGATTATAGGCACTCACCACCACACCTGGCTAAGTTTTTTGCTTTTTTTTTTTAGTAGAGATGGGGTTTTGCCATGTTGGCGAGGCTGGTCGTGAACTCCTGTCCTCGGGTGATCCGCCTGCCTCGGCCTCCCAAAGTGCTGGGATTACAGGCATGAGACAATGTGCCTGGCCTCTGTTCTGACTTTGTTCCATGTTAGTCCTGTCAAGTTGGAAAATCTACTTAAATCTACCTTGGATATAGTAGTCCTTGTAAAATGGAGATAATAATAGCCATGCTCACAAAACTGTCTGAAGAATACTGAGATAAAGTACGTAGTGTATGGTATCTCTGGCCTGGTGAGTTTCCATACAACTTAGATAATATTATTTTATTACTACATGAATAGCCTGGGGAGTCCATGTCTATTCCTTGTACCCCTACTGTATTCTCCAAATGTATACACACATAAAAGGAATACAATGTAATATCAGTACTTCAAGAAACCAGTTAGCATGGCAATGTGGAGGAACTTCTGGCTTGGAATCAGCAGCCATGAATTTGAATCTTTGGTAGGTGTTCCTATGACATGTGTAGATCAAACTACTCTCATTCCAGCCTTCTCAGGTGCCCACCTTCAGCACCTAATCAGAACAAGCTCAAGGCAGCACATACAGCCTTATTCTTGACCTAATTCATATAAAATATGGGTTCCTCCTAATTGTATTTGTATTCATACCTTGATGTTGAGCATCTATCCTTGGAATGCTGCCAATCCATTTTCCGCTTACAAACAGTGCTGGTAATAATATCAGCAAATTAAGAGCTGATATTCTATATGGAAATAACCAGAAAAGAATCCTGGTCCTACAATCTTTATATTATGTATTTTGAATCAATTTGGATATATGTGGATTTAAGGCAACATTTATCACTCTACATGTCTTCAAAAAATAAAAGTCAAGTTGGAGGTGCAAGCCCAAAAACGAGATTTAAGCCATGACAGGGAAGGTGTTTGTTTTCTTACTTTTTCACTTTCTCAGCCCAGTTTCAGTCAGCTGAGAGTCAGTCTCTCCTCTTGTTTTTCTTTTCCTCCCTACAATGATCAATGAAACTGATGTAATATCTTAGGTTTTTAGAAAGAGTTCTTTCCTGGCCGGGTGCAGTGGCTCACACCTGTAATCCCAGCACTTTGGGAGGCCAAGGCAGGCGGATCACGAGGTCAGGAGATCGAGACCATCCTGGCTAACATGGTGAAACCCCGTCTCTACTAAAAATACAAAAAATTAGCCGGGCATGGTGGCGGGTGCCTGTAGTCCCAGCTACTCGGGAGGCTGAGGCAAGAGAATGGCATCAACCCAGGAGGCAGAGCTTACAGTGAGCCGAGATTACGCCACTGTACTCCAGCCTGGGCGACAGAGCGAGACTCCATCTCAAAAAAAAAAAAAAAATAAAGAGTTCTTTCTTGCCTTTTGACTGAATATCTGTATTTCCTTATAATAAAAAGCTGTTTGGGGACATAGTCAATTACATAGCACTTCTAACCCTAGCCAAAAAAAAAATCCTCTATGCGATGCTGCAACTCATCATCAATTTATTACTTGGGTTTTGGAGTAATTGCTCTGTAGTATTATTTTGGCCTTGTCCTCCTAATACTCATTGCCTTAGGAGTTAAACAGACTGACTTCTAATTGTGCCACTTTATGCAACAAACATTTCTTAACTGATTAGTACATGTTAGTTATTAAGATAGGTGCTTGGTTCGTGACATCCTATATGGCATAATTTCTGCCATCAATGGGGTTGGGAGTGGGTTACATTGAGAAATCACCAAACTTACCCTGTTTCATAGGTACTAAAATAAACATGTGCGGTGTTGCGGAAACACAGAAGTTGGATGTCTATATTACGTTGAATGATGAGGGTTAGGGATAACTATTCTCCAATATACTATGTAAATTCCATTTTGAAGGACAAATACATACCAAAAAAACCTATAAGGAGAGATGGTGACAACAAAAACTCATTCTAGGCACAGAGATGGGTGCTTCCTACCCTAACCTATCCTAACCTTAGCAACCTTAGGCATGCTTACTAAACTGCTCTGGGTTTCACTCACATGGAAAATGGTAAATAGAACATTTAACTCATATTATTTTACTAAGATTTGAGCAAAATATAAAGTTCCTGCTTCTGGGGCTGAAATTTGAAATTGAATCAAGAAGTGTCAGATGCCTTCTTTTTTTTTTTTTCTTTTTGCAACTAATTATGTTTGTGTATTATGTCTTACCACTGATCTTTACTAATCCCTATAATATCTACTTTAGGCTCTTAAATCATACACAGGCATATTTTCCCCAAGACAAGAGAGAGCCATTTAATGCTAGATTTAAGAAACTTTGCCTGGGAATTATCTAAGAGTAATAGATGTAAACCAAATGTCTATTACAATTTCATGGCTGAGAGTTGGAATTTAGTATATCTGAAAATTTTCCAAAGATGTCCAATAGCCAACATTATAAGAGACAAATTCATTTTTTACTCTTTCTACCCTCAATGAAAGCTATGGCCTGGTACTTTCTTTAGATCATAATTTAGATGTCAATCTTTACTGCTCTAAAATAGTGGCTCTGGAGTTTTAGTTCTACTTAAGATCAGCTTCCAAATGTAATAAAAAAATAGCTATGAAATCAGAAACCCCTTAGTAATTCTACTGGCTCACGGCAGGACCATTTGAAAAGTCACTCAATAAAGAAAAGAAATAAAATGTGCAAGGTTCAGAAGATGATGCCAAAATGAAGTTGAAATGGTTAGAAATATTGTTTTGTATCATTTCTTCCTTATCCGTTTTGTGACATTTCAATGAAAAGTACATTTGAGGTTCTAAATTATATTACATGAAACATTGCAACTAACTTTCAAGATATTTATCCTGAGCAATTTCCTATTGATTCATGTCTGTGATCTAAAAACAGGGAGCTGCCCACACAAGTGTGGCTAATTAGATGCTTTCTCTAAATGTTGTGATTCATATTCCTGGAACAGGGCTCTCTCCATCCCCCTTTGGGGAATGTTCTAGAATTTCTGCCTGATTTTATCATGAGAATTGGCATATTCATCAAGCTAATATGCTGTGTCTTGCACTGCCCCATCATTTTCAGAAGTCAATCACATTAATAGAAAGAGGCAACTCAAGTCTCCTTTGGTTGAGGGAAGAGACTAAATAGGAATGAATCAAAGTCCAGCAACCTTTGGCATCCTAAGTAGATATTTTTAATGAAGTTAAACAGGAAGTGCCAGTTGAGGTCAATATTAAATGCAGAATCTGACTGTCTTGGGAAATCTTTTATAAGAAATTGCAAACTAATGAACTGGCTGCATTTAAGGGTGACAGTGTTTTTCTATATAGTTCTTAATTTGTTCATTAGAACTAAAATAATATATTTTGCAATTTTTGGTAAAAAAAAGTATCTAAAATTTGAATCAGAACTTCATTAATTCTTATATTTCACAAGAGCAGAGGAAAGAATACAGATTTTGAATCAGAAAACTAAGTTCCAGCTTCCACTTGCTTAGTTGAGTGGCCTTGAGCAAACACTTTTTCTCAATTTCCTCTTAGATATGTATAGAACAGAAGGCCTATTTGCCAGGAATATTGTTGTTACTGATGAAAAATAAATACTATTAATAAAGGTATTTTGTTTATACTTAAGTTGTAATTATGACAATTAATTACTTCATTTTTCTGCAGTAAGTTTGTGTTCTGAGAACCTACAGAATCATGATGGATAGTTTTCACCTACAATAGTTAACTCCATGTAATATGTACTATGTCTATATCTTTGTTTTTTCCTGTGATTTTGTTTTGAGCTTGTCCATTTATTTATTATGGATTGGTTTTCTTCTGTCTCATTTTTTTATGTCCGGATTGCCTGATGTCTTGTCTTGCTCTTGACCTCAGTGTTTGTTTCATGAATGCATTGTAATAATGGTGAGGTTTGGACTTATAGTGTACTCATCACCAAAACAGTGAACATTGTACTCAAACAGGTAATTTCTTTTTTTTATTTTTTATTTTTGAGACGGAGTCTTGCTCTGTTGCCCAGGCTGGAGTGCAGTGGCACCATCTCGGCTCACTGCAATCTCCCCCTCCTGGGTTCATGCCATTCTCCTGCCTCAGCCTCCCAAGTAGCTGGGACTACAGGCACCCACCACCACACCCAGCTAATTTTTTGTATTTTTTAGTAGAGATGGGGTTTCACCATGTTAGCCAGGATGGTCTTGATCTCCTGACCTCGTGATTCGCCCGCCTTGGCCTCCCAAAGTGCTGGGATTAAAGGCATGAACCACTGTACCTGGCTTCAAACAGGTAATTTCTTAACACTCACCCACCTCTCACCCTACACTCTTTTACAGTCTCCAGTGTATATTATCTCCATCTTTATGTCCATGTGTACCCACTGTTTAGCTCCCACTTACAAGGGAGAATGTGTGGTATTTGATTTTCTGTTTTAGGGTTAGTTTACCTAGGATAATGGCCTCCAGGTCCATCCATGTTGCTGTAAAGCATGATTTTATTCTTTTTAATGGCTACATAGTATTCCACATTTTCTCTACCCAATTAACCACTGATAGAAACTTAGGTTGATTCTGTGACATTTCTATTGTGAATAGAGCTGTGATAAGCATATGATCGCAAGTGTCTTTCTGATATAATGATTTATTTTCCTTTTGGTAGATGTCCAGTAGTGGGATTGCTGGGTTGAATGTTACTTCTATTTTTAGTAAACCTCCATACTGTTTTCCTTGGTGGTTGTACTAATTTACATTCCCACCAACAGTATGTAATTGTCCCCTTTTCTCCATATCCATGTCAACATCTGCAGTATTGTGACTTTTTAATAGTAGCCATTCTGACTGGTGTGAGATGATATCTCAATGTGGTTTTAATTTCCATTTCTATGATGATTAGTGATGTTGAGCACTTTTTTTTTTATCCTTACTGCCAGTATATATGTCTTTTTTAGATAAGTGTCTGTTCATGTCCTGGGCCCACTTTTTAATGGGATTGTTTGTTTTTTACTTGCAGAGTTGTTTGAGTTCATTGTAGTTGTGGATATTATTTTATTGTCAGAGGCATAATTTGCAAATATTTTCTCCCATTCTATAGATTATTTATTCTGTTCATTTTTTTTTTGCAGAAGCTTTTAAGTTTCATTAAGTCACATTTGTCTCTATTTGGTTTTATTGCATCTGCTTTTGGGATCTTTGTAATAAATTATTTGTCTAGACCAATGTTTAGAAGAGATTTTCCTAGTTTTTTTCCTCAGACTTTTATAGTTTTAGGTTTTACATGTAGGTCTTTAATTCATTTTAATTTTTGCATATGGTCAGATATAGTGGTCCACTTTCATTCTTCTGTTATTGGCTAGCCAACATTCCCAGCAACAGTTATTGAATAGGGTGTCTCTTTGCCCATTGTTTATTTTTGTCTACTTTGTGAAAGATCAGTGGGTTGTAAGCATGTGGCTTTATTTCTGGGTTCTCTGTTATGTTCCATTGATCTATGTGTCTATTTTGTACCAGTACTATGGTGTTTTGATTATTACAGCCTTCTATTATAATTTGAAGTCAGGTAATGTGATGCTTCTGGATTTGTTCTTTTTGCTTAGGATTTCTTTGATTATTTCGGCTCTTATTTGGTTCCATATGAACTTGAAGATTTTTTTTTTTCTAATTTTGTGAAGAAAGACATAGGTACTTTTCTAGGAGTTACATTAAATCTGTAGATTGCTTTAGTCAGTAAGATCATTTTTAATCATAATTATCTTTCCAAACCATGAACATCAGACTTTTTTCCATTTGTTTGTGTTATCTATGATTTCTTCCTTCAGTGTTTCATAGTCCTTATAGAGATCTTTCTCCTCCTTGGTTAAATGTACTCCTAGGTAATTTTTGTTGTTGTTGCTATTGTAAATGGGGTCTCCCCAAATTGCCAAGCCATTCCAGTCATTCTGGACCCTGAGACTCCCTGCCTCAGAAACTGTCTATCATGCCACACCCTTCCTGCTCTTGCAAAGGGAGGGGCACCCAGCTTCCAGGACACCAGGGGAACTCCTGCCACACTCTTCCATGTGTTCTGACAGTAGAGGTTTATCTCCCACTTGAGATCAGAGCACAGATCTCATCTTTATACCACTGGTCAGTGTGCTTAATTCCTGGGGAACTGGGACCAGGCTGGTGGATTTTTTCCTCTGGCTCTTTGGGGTCAAGCACTGGTTTCCATGGTGCATTGAATTTCACTCCCGCCACCAACAAACCACTCTTGCAGGGTGATGGACGCTATCCTGTGGGCTGTCTTCCTGTGGGAACAGACGGGCAGTCTTGGGAGGGATCAGCAGGCATGGGAGCAGGGGGTTCAAATGTGCCTCAGTCCTACAGCAATGGCCATGGTGACTATCTTGGAGACATGAGCATGCCCAGGCCCCACTGCCTCCCAGTCAGGTAGACAGCAGGAGTTGCAGCTGCTTAGGGAAAGATGCAGAGCCTTAGTAGTGTGTACCCAGACACGTGTTGCTGCAGCTGACCAGCACACTGAAGCCTTTTGGGTTCCACGTGGGTTCAACAGATGCCTTTGCATGGTCTCCAGGCAGCTACCCCCTGCCATTCTAAAGGTCTGCAGGGGTTGTGGGAACTCCTGTAGCTAGGATCTAAGAAGTCCATGATAGAAAAGGGTTGCCCCACAGTTCCATCACTCATCCCTTCCTTGTGTCTGGTTCAGGTCCAGAGGTTTTTCCTGATGCTTGGTAACATCCAGCAGGCAGCCCCACTTCCCTCTTCAACCATGGTGTCTTCTATCACTTCTCTCTATTTAATTTCAGTGTTTTCTCTCAAAACATCTGTTTGAAGTATGACAGTTTACTTGATATTTTGTTTCCCCTCCATGGAAGAGGCACATTTCAGCTGCATCTAGTCAGCAACCTTTAATTCTTCTGAGCCCAGTGGTTCTTCTTAGGGCAATCTTTTCCTCTTTTTTCGATGTCCTTCTTATTGGAAATCAAGAAATCCTTTTAGCTATTCCCGAAGTAGTACTAAGTACCTTCTAAGTAAAATCTTGGAAGTGTTTCTTAGTAGTAACTAATGAATTTTCCTGCATCTACAGCTCTTTGGGAAAACGGTTGATCTTGATTTTGAATTTGTTTGCTCCTTCAGTATATAAAATTGGTCAGTAGTTCTTACCCCAAGATGCCCATAGTCCAATGAGGAAGAAAGAAAATTAGACTTAGTTGATAATGACTGCAACAGAGTAAGTGATTAAAGCTCTGGGTACTCAAGGAGGGGCATCTCAACACCTAGAGGGGTGACAGAGACTTCTTTGGTGGAGGCAATATACAATCTGTTATCTAATGGAAGAGAAGGGATTAATCAACATGAGAACAAAGAAAGGCCTCTTAGGTAGTAAGAATAATGCAGAAGTACAGTTCTTCCTGTACAGCAAGCTGTTTAATGTGTGTAGAAGGCACAATGCAAGAATGAATTATTTTGCTTGTGGCCAGAAAGGGAAAAGGATAAGTAAGCAGAGTTTGTATTCTGAAGGACCTTGGAGAATATGGTTAAAAAAAAAAATTGCTCTTATCCTGAGGATACTCTTACAGGTAGTCACCTTCAGATAAATGAAGAGTTGTAGTTTTCGACTCATCCCCACTCCAGTCTGCATTGTTGAGTGAGCTCATGTTGATCTGACATTTATATAATGACAATTGAGAACACAGACAAGGCTGAAAGGAATGTGTGTGTGAAAATATAGTCCATAAGGAGTCACTGAGTCAGCAATATTGTGAATGGCGCAAAGAAGGCTGAAAAATACTACATTAATCCAGCAGGAGACATAATCAATCAAGGCTTTGGTTAAAAAGGGATGTTTTTAGTTTGTGAGCTTGAGAACTTCTTGGGCAGAGTAGCTGTATGTTGTGTTTCTTTTGCAATAACCTTATCTTGCATTTCCTCCATACTAGCATCACTGAATGAAATCACTACAAGTCACTCTCTTGATGAATTGATATAGGGCTAGGGACACTCTAAACTGTGGAAGTTTGAATTCTCAGTGAATCACTTTGCTTCCTGATACATCCTAAAATGAATCATGGAACAAAGGAGGAAAAATATATTCTGAACCAATGGGCTTTGAACATAGGTTGTTACTAAAGCAATTATGGAGCGTTACCTGGGAAGACCTATGTGAACAATTACTTCAAACACACATAGCACTTAAGTAAGGTAAATAAAACAAAAATGGAGAGCTTGGCCTGGCAGGGGGATGATTAAAGGTCAAGTGTTTTTAAGATTTTTAGAATAGGCAAAAATAAATTTTTTTCTTTTACAACTTTTTTTTTTATGTAACAGTCTTCCAATTAAATTATTGTTCATACTATATTCAGATAGTTTGCTTGGCATATTGTGATTGGCACTTTTGGCAGGGGATTGAAGATTACATCTGAAGCAATACTAGATGATATATAATGGAGATGGAATCCTAAGATAATGCAGTTTAATTAATGGATTTTTCATATATTGTATACACACTTTTTAAAGACAGAAAATAAAACTGTAGCTATTAATGCCAGCCAGATTGAAGTTACTTCAAGATAGAAATCAAATTTGTGTGCTATCAGTGGTTCAGGTCATTACTGAACATTTTCTTAAAGTTTGTTAAAGGTGCAATTTTATGTGTAGCTTATGTGGTGCACTTTTAGATAAAAACATACAATTTATTGAGCACTTAAAATAATATTTACTTTGGAAGTTGTTCTTGAAGGATATGCACACACATATAGGACACAGCATCTCTCCTCGAAGACATCGTTTGGGAAACAAGCCATAAATATATGATGTTAACTAATAGTACTTACATAAGGCAAAAATATCAAATATTTATTTGATAAATTATGAAAATAAATGATACATAAAGTAATGTCACACTAAGGGATATTATATGAACCCAGAAAAGAAATTCAATATAAATTGCTTCTGACATGATATATAGATTTAAATATTTATGGACTTCAACTAAGTGCAAACATGTCCTCAGAGGTTTCCAGAGAATGTATCATGTTCTCTGTAATTTTCTGTTAATCTATTAACCTTTCCAATGGATTTTGTCTTCTTGATGTCAGGAATTATGTCTTAATGACTGTTAGTGTCCTACATTTATAACCTTGTACTTGATATACAAAAGGCTTTGAACAAATGATTTGATAAATACATGAATGACAGTATTTCATGCAGGCAGAAAAAGGGGGGACCAGGTTATGGCAATTACTAGTTGATTTTGTCAAAGACCATGCAAAATGTGACATTAAGTGATGACAGAGGCCTGAGCAACGTTCTTGCTTGGTTGTCCTCTCTCAAAGAAAAATGACAAGGACATTCCAGGTGAGGATAATAGCATGAGGAAGGCATGGCTCTGAAAAAACTGGTATAGATATTGTGGACTGAAGAAATACTAGATATCATAGTCCCCCCCCAACTCTTTAATGGTTAAAAATGGAATACTCTAGGCTGGGCTCAGTGGCTTATGCCTGTAATCCCAGCACTTTGGGAAGCCAAGGCGGGTGGATCACCTGAGGCCAGAAGTTCAAGACCAGCCTGGTCAACATGGTGAAACCCCGTTTCTACTAAATATAAAAAAAATTAGCCAGGTGTGGTGGGGGCGCCTATAATCCCAGCTACTCGGGGGGCTGAGGCAGGAGAATCGCTTGAACCCGGAAGGTGAAGGCTGCAGTGAGCCAAGACCGCACCATTGCACTCCAGCTTGGGCAACAAGAGTGAAACTTGGTCTCAAAAAAAAAAAAAAAAAAAGAAAAGAAAAAAATAAAGGAATACTCTAGAGTGCTGGAAAACTCCAGAGTCTTGTATCATGCAGGTAATGAAGATTCCCATTTTGCTGAGCATATGTGGACCTATGGGTGACAATAATTGTAAACTGGCACTGGGAAACAAACAGATTTCAAGGTCTCTATCATAGCTCTGACAATCTTTGGCTTGTGGTAAGTCATAGTTGAAGCACATATCATTTTCAGAAGAACCAAGGGCAGCTCAGCGGGTTGAAAAGAGCTCTAGATTAAGACTAACCTGTTGTCTAGATTCGATTCTGCCTTCAGCAAGTATGGAGGCCAAAGCAACCCCATCTTGGATGCTAATCTGCCATGTTGGCTTCTGATTAGCCCCAGTTATGGGAAGGCCTCTAAAATTTCCAGTTTATCTATTGTTCCTTCTGTAACCACAGGTATTTACCATAAATCCTGCCCTTAGGTCAAATAACCTTGATGTTGCTGTGCTTCAGTCGTCCTACACATCCCTTTTCAACCACCCTTTCCCTGTAGCATAAAGAAGCCCTGGGTCTGGGGGTTAAATGTTTCAGGGGTCCACCATCTTGTCTCATCACTGCCTGAGACACAGACATAGCTTTTCTTCAAAAATCTCTATTAAATGTTTTTTTCTAAAAAAAAAAAACTGGATTTCTCAGCCTCTTTCTTTAGCCTCTCAGCCTCCTCAAACTTTGGGAATTAGGTTTGCATAGACCTGTTTACCTTGAAACAGCAGCCATACAACTCAGTTTCCTTGCTTTCAGCATGGAAGATGGTAAGCTTTACTATCCCTTTTAGATAGATTACAAATTTGCTCTGTGATTCTTTGACTCCGATGATTCTTGTGGTCATGGGAAAGGAGGGAAGTGGAAGTCTGTGAGGTGGACTGGTCTGTCTACTCTCTCCTGAAGGCACTTTTATGTCATCAAATAGTACAGAGGAATTGGCAGGTGAAAGTGTGATATATTAGTTAATAGCATTGATTTTAGAATAAAAAGAAATCTGGCTTCTGGGCTCCAATGCTGCATCCATTCTTAGTAGTAGTTGCCAAAGCTTCTGTGCGGTGGACATAGAAAAACTGACCTCTCTGGGCTGTCAGTATGAAATAGGCTCATAACATAATTTCCTAGTCATCTTATGCCTACTTTTAGGAATATAAAAATATCTCATTTTCTCCCATTCTGTAGGTTGCCTGTTCACTCTGATGGTAGTTTCTTTTGCTGTGCAGAAGCTCTTTAGTTTAATTAGATCCCATTTGTCAATTTTGGCTTTTGTTGCCATTGCTTTTGGTGTTTTAGACATGAAGTCCTTGCCCATGCCTATGCCTTGAATGGTATTGCCTAGGTTTTCTTCTAGGGTTTTTATGGTTTTAGGTCTAACATTTAAGTCTTTAATCCATCTTGAATTAATTTTTGTATAAGGTGTAAGGAGGGACCCAGTTTCAGCTTTCTACATATGGCTAGCCAGTTTTCCCAGCACCATTTATTAAATAGGGAATCCTTTCCCCATTGCTTGTTTTCGTCAGGTTTGTCAAAGATCAGATAGTTGTAGATATGCGGCATTATTTCTGAGGGAGAAAATTTTTGCAACCTACTCATCTGACAAAGGCCTAATATCCAGCATCTACAATGAACTCAAACAAATTTACAAGAAAAAAACAACCCCATCAAAAAGTGGGCGAAGGATATGAACAGACACTTCTCAAAAGAAGACATTTATGCAGCCAAAAAACACATGAAAAAATGCTCATCATCACTGGCCATCAGAGAAATGCAAATCAAAACCACAGTGAGATATCATCTCACACCAGTTAGAATGGCAATCATTAAAAAGTCAGGAAACAACAGGTGCTGGAGAGGATGTGGAGAAATAGGAACACTTTTACACTATTGGCGGGACTGTAAACTACTTCAACCGTTGTGGAAGTCAGTGTGGCGATTCCTCAGGGATCTAGAACTAGAAATACCATTTGACCCAGCCATCTCATTACTGGGTATATACCCAAAGGATTAGAAATCATACTGCTATAAAGACACATGCACACATATGTTTATAGCGGCACTATTCACAATAGCAAAGACTTGGAACCAACCTAAATGTCCAACAACGATAGACTGGATTAAGAAAATGTGGCACATATACACCATGGAATACTATGCAGCCATAAAAAAGGATGAGTTCATGTCCTCTGTAGGGACATGGATGAAACTGGAAACCATCATTCTCAGCAAACTATCGCAAGGACAAAAAATGAAACACCGCATGTTCTCACTCATAGGTGGGAATTGAACAATGAGAACACATGGACACAGGAAGGGGAACATCACACACCGGGGACTGTTGTGGGGTTGGGGGAGCGGGGAGGGATAGCATTAGGAGATATAGCTAATGCTAAATGATGAGTTAATGGGTGCAGCACACCAACATGGCACATGTATACATATGTAACAAACCTGCACGTTGTGCACATGTACCCTAAAACTTAAAGTATAATAATAATAAAATTAAAAAAAAAATCTCATGTTAATCCTTTTAAAATAAGGAAAGAAAATATAACAAAGCATATATGGTGGGGATAGGAAGGTAGTCCTTTTTTTTTTCTTTTCCAAAAGTAGTAATGAGTAAAGACTCAGAGGATGAAACTGATTTCTTAGATCCGAGTTTTGGTGTTCCCTCATATGTTCTTGCCTATCAGTAAATAATTAGAGGGAACAGACAGGATAGAAAAAAAGTGACTTTCTGATTATGCTGGAAAAAAAAATCTGAAGCTCTGACTTAACTTTTCAGATTACAACTATTCCTTTATTTGTTATTACTAACAGAAACAAGTGAATCCAACCTTTATGATCTCTTTCTCCTACCTGTATTTAAAGTTGTGCCGGTGACCTCCTCTAGTTCATCAACCCCAATTCATTACCCATTACAAATCAGAACACAATTCAAACTCCTCTCTTATCTGAAAAGGCTTTGCCAGATGGGACCTCTGGCTTTTTCTAGGTCCCACTGCGACCATGTTTCCCTTTGCCACGGAAGCCTCACTGATCTTGGAAACTGTCTCTCTAATGTGCTAAGCCAGATCTTATCCCAGGGCGCTTGTAGTTGTGCCTCCAGTCTGGAAGATTTCTCTCAGACCTCTGCGTGATAGGCGTCCACTCATCATTTAAGCTGCAATTCAAATGTCACTTTTATGAAGATGCCTTCCTGGCTCTCTGCACTGAAGCAGCCTCACATCCTGGACACGTATTCAGTTCATTACCCTGTGGTATTCCGTTCTTAGCACTTTCTATTTTCTGAAGGTCATTTGGCTGATTGATTCCTTTGTTTGTTGACTAGTTTACTTTATGTCTTTCCCACCAGATGGCAAGCTCTCTGGAGACAGGGGCCTTGTCTAATTTATTCACTGCTATATGTGAGGTGCCTTGAACAGTTTGTGGCACACAGTGTGTATTCAATTAATATTTGCCAAATAAATACATGGATAGATGGATGGTCATTTTAGTACTGGACCTCGTTTCAGAGGTGGAGAATGTGTTCCCTTTTGGCCTAGCCTTGGTCCTACACCTTTGAGCATATCTGGGAAACAGAAGGAATTGGGCCCTTCGCTTAAAAGTGGTTCACTACCTGGCTGCAAAGTAGCATTAACTGTGGAGGTTTTCTTTTTGAAACACAAATACTAGTGCTTCATCCACTAATTAAATCAAAATCTCTGTGGGTGGAGCTTGAATATTGATTAAAACGAATAATCACAATAAACTCAGTGTTTCCCACATGCAATTAGATTTGACAACTACTGTACTTGCTTACCTTACTCACCCCTAGAAGAGCTGTAAAATAATCTGCTTCGAAAATTCCACAAAATGATGCTTAGAAATGAAGTTTTAAAGTTTGCAATTTGTATTCCATAGGAATCCACAAAGAATAACAGACTGGAAAAGATGTGGTTCCTTAACTAAAATAAGAGAGAAAAGAGTCTAAAATCAGACCTCGATTGAGTTGACTTGTCCCCTTCATTTATCCTGTCCTTGACTTTGTTAGACCATTTATTAAATCTCTGAGTTCTTTGCAGCTGGTCATCATTCTGTGATCTGTGTTCTGTTTGTTCTGCTTCTGACTGTCTGTAAGGATTGCTAGAGTTCCCTTTACTAAGCATTTATACACCAGTTAGAGTTCCTTGGATGACTATAGCATTGTGCTCTACCATACGTCAAGCAGATAAACACTGGTATGATTTGCGTGGAAGTTGTGTGACATTGTTGAAAGAGCCTTATTGCTTGAAGCAGCTATGGAAGAGACCAATGAATCAAGTGCAATTAAATTTAAGAAACAAAGGCAGGTGATTACCAATTTATGCAGAGGGTGAAAGATATTATTTTATTATCTCTATATCAGGCTTTCCCCCAAAGTTTCCAATCCTGTGAATCCTGTTCTACATGAATGTATACACATTGCTTTATATTGACTTTTGAAGGTAGTATTAGTTACATTTACATATTAATCAATCCAGATGCAATGGGCCACTGTAATTACCTAACGTTTGGAATCCAAATTTTGCTGATTAGAATTCTGAAATGATGATTTATTAGACAAGCACAATGATTCCAAATGATTTCCTCAGGAGAATCCTCCCATTATTAATTATTAGCTAAAGTTGCTCCCAAAGAGCTCTCTGAAGGAGGCTAGGAAAAAAAAAAAAAACTGCATAAAGAGGCAGAGAAAGATATATTGACATAATTGTATTTAACGTGCTATGCATCATGACCAAAGTGTCCTTTTTATATCTGCTATTAAAACAGAAAAGAGCTAATTTAATTTTAAATAGCCATGAGAAAAATTACAAAGCAGAAAACTGCAAATATATATTGTCAGGCATGACGTCTTGTCTCTTTAGTGACATGAACCTTTTTAGAGGCTGACTTTCTGTTGCTCCTGCCGTGACTTTTTCCCAATGGTTCTTTGACTATGTTACTTAAAATTAGATAGGTGTGATTAATTTATCTCTACCCTGCTCTGAAAAGACACACTGCATAGGGGCTTTGATCCGATCACACAGGGAGGTCTCCTTATGGTCCAGCCATACTGGGTTGGAATCAGAGCAGAGGCTCATATGATTATATTTGTCACTGTTAATTGAGCACAAATGTCAGTGTTCATTAAGAACAAAGGAAAATGTGGCATTGCAGCCAGGGCTTAACTTTTTCATTAACTGTATAACATTAAGTGGTAACTGTAATACCAAAATCACTGAACAAATTCATGGAAAGAAGCATATTGTAGTTTTACCTCGTGATGTCTTTTCAAAGGTGTAAGTGTGGACAGAGGGCTACAAAAATTACCAGAAAGCCATCTGGCATTATTAAGTAGCCATTTGAATGTAATTAAACATTATGTCTTTTGCAGGAAATACACCTGCAATTAACACAATTCAAATCATGGTTGATAATTTGTACGTTTCCCACTTACTGGTGACTATGGGCTGGTGTTCCTGGACATTTGAGACTCTCATGCACATGGGCTTCCTTCATCCCCAATTTACCCCCAAAGCTTTTGTGACAGATTTGTAATCCTGTCTTGTACAACTGTACCTATCTCTGCCATTTACTCTCATCTGTAATATCAGTGGCAACGATGAGCTGCTTTGAAGCATTGCCCTGTAAGCCTGTCATTTGGCAAATTGAAAGGAAGCACTCTTTTTGATGACAGCAATGAATGATACAAGCTCCTAAGTATAGGGATGTGCCTGGGCTATCAGGTGAAATCTATCCCCCCAGGAACAACTTAGGGCAAAGTTTGTGATGTGCTCTTTTAAAATGTTTTTATGTTGAATGCTTCAGTTGGGTTATAAAAATGAAAACAAACATTGCATCCAGTTCTGATCTCAGCTTGAAGTCACGGCAATAAAATGAATGGGTTCAGGGGTAGGTGGGGGTGGGGTGGGGAAATGGGACTTGAAGATCCCTTGCTCTGGAGGGAAAAAGATGTCAAAACAGATTTTGTCTGTGAAGGGACATAAAACTAGATAACTTTGAAGATTGTCTTCAAATGCCCAAGTACTCAAAATGGGAAAAGAAAAGGTTTCTTGTAACTCAGCCTGAATTTTAATTAGAAGCAGTCCTTTCTAAAAAGACAAATCCGGCTGCCTAAAAGCTTGGAGTGAGGTTAGGAGGGGCATGGGGTGAACCCTGATAAGTCAGCAAAGAGAGTGGGGATTTGTGACTGTGTTGGATTTCTCGGCCTGAAGAAGTGGTTTAGGAGTGGCTGCCTACCCTATCCTCAAAAGGAAGAAGAGGAATTAGACAATTAGACACAGAGAAATCATGAGTGTTCTACAGAGTACTAATTTCTGGCTTGTTTGAATTAATTTAAGAAACTGAATATCCATTGAAGTCGTTGGAGTTAGAAAAGAAAAAATAAGAAAGAAGACAGGAGAAGAGAGGAGGAGGGGAGGGAAGCAGAAGAGAGGGAAGAGGAGAGGAAAAGAGAGAAAAAGAAGCATGAAGAAAGGGTTTCCAGCTTAACCCAAACTAGAGGTGCCTCACTATATGCAGTCTTCCAATAAATCTTCTTTAAATATCTTCAGCCCTACACACTGAGCTTGGTGACACGTTTAGGTTGGCCACCATGAACACTGCATAATGTGTACAAAGCCCCAGGTTGAAGACAGAACTAGTCAATTCTGTCTCGATGAGTTTAGATCTCAGAGGGGAGATCTGGGCTGCAATCATCAGTAGGCATATAGATTCTATTTGATGACACCAGTGTGAGTAGGAGTTTTAGAGAGTAGGATGGAGAGGACAGACTACACAAACTCTGTGAAAGGCTAATGTTTAAAGAATGTGAGAAGATAATCTTGAAACAGCCAGAGATGGAGAAAGTAGGGATATAAGAAAAAAAATAAGAAACATGAAGTATACAAAGGGCAGAAATTAATAGTTGACTAATCAGAGATTATAAACAGGTTAAATACGCTGAAGATGGACAATTACTGAGTTTTACAACATAGTATCACTGTGGATTGCCTGTTTGTGGACTTTATCTCTCTAAAAACCGTTGATTCTAGACAGAGAAATTCACAAAAATGAGTAAAATGTAGAACTTTAGTGTAGTTACCATAATTTCAACATCAGAGATAATTTTGTCAATATTCAGAGGTCTTTTGTTTTAGAAATATGACATTAAATGAGGTTATTTAACTATGTGTCTTTTTTGTTTGTTTTTTGTTTTGGTTTTCTGAGACAGAGTCTCTGTCACTAGGCTGGAATGCAGTGGCACAATTTCTGGTCACTACAACCTCGGGGTCCCCGGTTCAAGTGTTTCTTCTGCCTCAGCCTCCCGAGTAGCTGGGACTACAGGCACGCACCACCATGCCCAGCTAATTTTTGTGTTTTTAGTAGAGATGGGATTTCACCATGTTGGCCAGGATGGTCTCGATCTCCTGACCTGGTGATCTGCTCACCTCAGCCTCCCAAAGTGCTGGGATTACAGGCATGAGCCACTGCACCTGGCCAGTTATATGTCTTTTTGGTGTTATGTCAATAATAACAATAATATAACAATTATCACTATTTGCCATTTTTTAAATTGGCATAAAACTGATAGAGAATTTTTAGTTGTTGAGAATGTCTCAGATGCTGAGCTTTGTATAGGCATAGAGACTAACAGATTATATAGTGAGAAATCTGGATATGGCTTGAACTGCTTTGGTTTCAATTCTCACTTTACCAAACACTAGCTGTAGGTTGTTTCTTAAAGAATGGCAAGAACAGGAAAACCCAGTAAAGCAGATAGAAAAGGAGCAAGAGATAATAAAGTATCCACCTCATAGAATTTTTCTGAGAATTAAACGATACATGGAATATACATAAAATAGTACTGAATGTAGAAAGCACTCAATACAGGTTTTTGATGATTATTATTATTTAGTTATAACAATTTCTTAAAAATTCTCTCACTATTCATATTCTGTAGAAAAGAAAACTGGAGCATAGAGAAAAAATAACTCATGTAAAGTAAACATAATTTATTTGTGATTATGGCAAGATTAGAATCTGAATCTCTCTAAAATCCATACTTCTTCCAACACACTGAAAGTTTCCAAATTGTCTTCTGTACTGCTTAATACATTGGAGAATGAGCTTATATGTTGGAGAATGAGCTTCAGCTGTCCTCTATGTGTGGGATTCAAGAGGAGGTGGATGGGAGGATTCAAAGGAGGTTGAAAGAGAGAGGCTCTTGTGTCGCTTATTTGAAGTTTCCATTTTCTGTTATATAAATTAGTTTCCTATGTAAGATTTCCCATAAAAAGCATTCTGTCACTAAAAATAATAATAACAGTTTGTTCATGGAAATACTAACAATAAGCTATATACCCTAAGCCCTTCTTTCCCTTTCCTCTCAAAAAATAATTCAAAGTTCAATTAGATGATATTGCCAACTTATCAGTTGAATAGTGTCAGGGTTCTCAGATAAAAATGATGCAAAATCCGCTACAATTTTATCCTCTCTGGGCTATTCTATGACTTCCCTTAAAAAGAAGGAACCCCTCAGCATGTAAGGGGCTAGTTCAGGGCTGTAAGGGGCTTTGTTGTAAACAAACCAAACCCTTTTGAAAATCTAGCCACACAGTGGCCTTCATTGATTTCTCCCTGGTACCATTAGCCAGTCTAGAAATAATATTAAGTTATTTTTGCAAAGCTTTTGGGAAAAAAAACTGTTAAAATTAGGCTAGATATGTCTCTTTTGTGTGTGTGTTTTGTTTTGAGACAGAGTCTTACTCTGTTGCTCAGGCTGGAGTACAGTGGTTAATTTATTGCAGCCTTGAACCCTGGGCTCAAGTGATCCTCCCACCTCTGCCTCCTGAGTATCTGGGACTGCAAGCATGTGTAATTACTCCTGGCTAATTGAAAAAAAAAAAAAAGATTGTAGAGATAGGGTCTTACTATGTTACCCAGTCTGGTCTTGAATTCCTGATTCTCAAGCAGTCTTCACACCTCGGCCTCCCAAAGTGCTGAGATTACAGCTGTGAGCCATCATGTCCAGGCAGAACTAGGCTAGATATATCCCCTTAATTTCAATTCTTGTTCACAAGAAATGAGAAATGGTTATAAGGATTAATATGCTGCTCCTTTGTACTCCCAAACATAATAATATTTCTTTTACAATAAGCCTTTTTGTGGTACCTTTTATGTACAAGGTCCTATGCTACTCAATGAAGTACTTATTTTAATTCATACTTTGCAAAGTCAGAAAGTTTAGAAATGAACCCCAGAAATCAAAAGCTAATGTGGCATTCAAAACCAGATCTTTTACGTCTAAGGTCATTGCTAAGAATCTCCATTCTTGTCATACACTTCCTTCCAGCCCTCTCTCTACTTTCTTCCATGTGGCACTACATTTAGTTCAAGTGCCAGAAAAGCCCAGTATATTTACACATTGTCTTAATTTGAAGCATCACATGTTAAGAATGTTTGTGTAGGTTCATACAAGTTTTCCTGTATGTTAAGCCTCTCCCTATACAGGTGTTTGTGATACCTTGAGTCAGATGAGGGAGAGGAGAAGCCACAATTCTATGTATGCCCAACTCTGAGCAGCCACTTTGCTTGTGTTTAAGATTCTGTATCCTTGTAACAAGGTAAACAAACAAGCAAACAGGCAACAACAACAAAACCTTGGTGTATATCAGTTGTCTCTTCCTTGAATTCTATAACCCACCAAAAATGCTTCAGGAAGACAAATAAGTAAACAGGTCATCTCGAAAAACTATGATGAAGGAGGTAATAGAGATATTGACAAAGTGAAATAAGAAAGAAAAAAAGGAGTAACTACAGAATAACCAAGAAGCTCTTCAGAGGAGATGACATTTAGAACAGGTCTTAAAATTTTAAACTAGTAATTTCAAGAAAAAAATGGAGGGAATTTCAGATGGAGAAAAAGCCTATGAAAACCAGCGAGGTACATGTTAGCATATTTTGCTGGGGAACAAATGAGCAATTCTGGAAGAAAAGCAGAGTGGCCTCCTGGTAGGTATGGCAAAAGTTAAAGCTGAAAGCATAGCTTGGAATCAAATTTTGAAGAGTCTCAAATGCCAAGTTAAGATGTTTGCACTTCATTCTGCAGGAAGTAGACAACCCTCCTAGTGTTTCAAGCATAAGCCAGCCATGAGTAGATTGATTTGTAAGATAAATCTGGCTGTGTCTGGAGGATGGAACAGAATAGAAAGAGAAAAGGAGGAAGAGAAAAATGATCAAGTTTTCCTCTTGAAAGTGAAGTGCCATATTCATTGGGTAAAATATTGATTTATCTCCTTTGAGCCCTATCCTGTAGCTCTCAACACTCCTCATGTTAGCTTAAATGTGAGTACTTCTTTGAAAATGAAAGGCTTTTAGATTGCTTGTTATGTGTCCTAAAGAAATAAAAGCTAATTTTTAAAAATAAACAATCTTTAGAATACTTGAAAATTCAAATGCTTTGATAAGACCGATGGATAAATTCATAACCAATGCACAGGAAATTAAAACTGTTAATATCCGTAGAGGAGCTTCACAAGCAGACTGTTCTACAATTAAAGTTAAGGATTGATCTGTGTGGGACTGCTAATATAATTTAGCTGCAAGGCAAAGTTATCTACCCAGTATTTTGTATCCAAGCTTCTACTAAATTAAGGCCAAAGACAGGCAAAAATGTCAAGAACAGACTTCATAATTATAAATTAGAAGATCCATTAGAAGATAGGCAGCATTATCTTTAAAACAGAAGGAATCTGCTGCACATGGTGGCTCACACTTATGATCCTACTCGCTGGGAGACCAAAACTGGAGCATCATTTGAGGCCAAGAGTTTGAGACCAGCCTGGGCAACATAGTGAGACAGCGTTTCTACAAAAAATTTAAAAAGTTAGCTGGGGATGGTGGCATGTAACTGTAATCCAACCTACTTAGAAGGCTGGGGAGGGAGGATTGCTTAAGCCCAGGAGTTCAAGGCTGCAGTGAGCTATGATAGTGCCAAGGTACTCCAGCCTGGGCAATAGAGCAAGGCCTTGTCTGAATAGAATAGAGTAGAGTAGAGTAGAGTAGAGTAGAGTAGAGTAGAGTAGAGTAGAGTAGAGTAGAGTAGAGTAGCATAGCGTAGAGTAGTGTAGTGTAGAGCAGAGTAGAGTAGAATAGAATCTTTAAGGTATTAAAATACTCACATGCTATAAGAAGTTATGAGCATGTTTTATTCTGGACCAGAAGGGATATGTATAGGTATTACCACTTCCCAGGCTTGCTAATTTGTCTGAATTCACTGCTTTCTGTCTGTATAAGGTTTGTGAATATAGGGCTTAATAGCTTAGATTTCTTCTTTTTTCTAGCATTTGCATTGTTTTCACTCTATTCAGCTGAAACATCAAGGGTTTTTGTTTGCATTACTAAAATCGTTCAGTTGCATATTGATAACTTTCATGTGTTATGTTTCATGTATGACATGAAGTACCCAACTTTCTCCATGTTATCCCCTTTTGCTGTCTATCTTCTCTATCCATTTTAAGTTCCTGACATCTCTTGGACTTTCTAGAAGACCTCTCACATTCATTCAAGCCCTCTCCGATGAGGCTTTTCTTTGCACCAAAAATAACAACAAATTGATGACCACACAATGTAAATCTGTTTATAATTATTTGATATCTTCTCATCACTCTTAAAAACAGTAAATATAAATGCCCCTTACCTTGAGGAATATTTGTAGGAATTTGCCCCACAAATACATCTTTCTAATTTAACTTTAGTTCTCTCTTCTATGTGACCCAGTTTCATGGATTCTCTTTTTTTAACCGTGATACCTTCTGTTACAGGAGCTTTATACATCCTATTTTCTGTCTTAAACATTCTTTTCTTGTTTTTTTACCTAAACGAATCTTACTTGCCTTTTGATATCTGATGAAATGTTTCTTTTTTCACTAAAAGTATTCTATAATCTCCTGCCATTGTTCAAAGCTCCCTCTATAGATTACACTGACTACATATGGCTCTTCTGGGATGCAACATGTAATTCCTGAAATGCGGTGAATTGGGAAATGTTTGATTTCTCCTCCAGACCATGAATTTCACAAGGGCAGGGAGAGGTTCTGCTTCTGCCCTCATGACATTTTTCCTGTTCATCTACTCAGGGGCTAGCACAATATCTGACATAAATTAAACATTTATGAAGTCATCGTTGAGTTTTTTAGGAAAAAAAGAATAAATAAATGAATCTAAGGCTGCTAGATTTGAACTCTTAACTGTATTCTGGCTTTACAACTTACCAATTGTGTGACTTTGACTTAGTAAGTGATTTTCTCTGATTTTCACTATCCTTAGATACAAAACAGGAATATGATGCCAATATTTAGTGTAAATGACTAACTATACAGAATAAAACAAACCAAGAGTAGGGAAGAAAACCAACAACCTAGCTAACACCTGCAACCCAGTAGTTACTCAGGGTGACAGGTCAGGCTCCTCAGAAGAAGGTGTTCAGATGCACTGTGCAAGCGAAATGTTTATTAGGGATTATTACATGTGAAAGGAAGGGGAAGAAAGCAGGATTGGACAGCAAAAGAAGTCAAACTGTAATGCAACTCTGACAAAACCTAAACCAACCCAGTGTTGTAATGCAAGAAACTAAAATTGCTTGACTTTTATGCCCTGATTCACTCAGTCACTGGATATGGGCAGCCCAGGAAGGGTGTAAGCTCAGTGGATCAGCTTCCAGGAGTGGGGGCTGACCTGGATGGAGCTGAGCATACAACCGGCTGCTAAGCAGCAAATCCTTCATTGAAGTAAGGTCTGCCCAGCTCATCTCAGCATCCACACTCTCACTCAGCACTTTCACTGATGATTCTTGAGTCAGTCAATCAGTCACTCTTATGAAAGGCCCACATGGGCTCCCACAGATCCTGCATTTTACAAGGGCTCAAAATGAGCAATCACAAGTACTGTTATTAAATCTTTCCTGACCAACCTTACAAGTGCCCAGGAGACACGGGAAAAAAATGATGGATGCTGAGAAGAAGGAATTAGAGAGAAAAGTGTCAATTAATCTCAGGCTGGGACTCACATAGCCTAGTGGGAAGTGAATGGGTCTGCTTTTGAGGAGACTGGGAGGCCAATTCGACTGAACTATCACACATGATGTTTTACATTTACCAGGTACTTTCTACAGGTCTCTGCTTCTGAAATTTGACCAATGTAGATATGAACTCATTTAAAAAGAGGGAATAAATACAGAACCCATACTGATTTAAATTAACTTTACTGTAAGTTTACACAATCACATAGAACTAGTGAGAAACTTCATAGGCTTATATCTAATAAGCAACTATAAAACACAAATTTATAATTAAATACACAAAAACTTTACATTAATAAAATTCACATTAACATTCATGAATTTTTCTTGATAAATGATATTGTTTTGTGGAAGTAGAGTCTCTTCTTGCCATGTGATTACTACAGCGCAGGAGCTTTTGCAATTGAAATTGTCAATTCTGCCACATATGCTGTGGGAATCAAATCTGTGATCATTTCTCTCTGAAGGATGTAATGTGACCTTCATTTGGCACATGCATGTTACTAATGTACTATAGAATTTCCACAGTTCTTTCTTCATTAATGATTAACAATTAAAACCGTGTTGTTCCTGACAGTTGTATAAACTGTAATGCAAATGTGAGTCCTAAAGTTTTATGGAAATATTTTGTTCATAACTAGCCATCCAGATGATCAATAATATACAGACATTAATATTTTCCAAGTTGTCTTTTGAAATGAAAATAATTTTGAATTAATTTCTTGGAATAGTTTCTTTAGAATCTGTGGCATCTATGGCTGGTGGTATATAGTAGCTATTCTCTCCTTCAGCTTTGATTATGGTCACCCTTTTCAACTTGGTGCATTGCTGTCCATATAACAGGGTATGTTTCCCAATGGTTCTTGCAGGTAGGTGAGGCCATGTGCTCCCAAGAAAGAGATCTCCAGAAGTTTTGTGAGACACAGCCATCAAGAATATTCAAAAATAAGATGATAGGTATTTCTTTATATTTTTTTCTCTACGCTGCTATCTGGACCCGGAATCTGGTGGCTGGTGTGCTGGAAGCTATTTTGGATTGTAAGGCCAAGAGGTAACAAGAGATGTCTGAGTTGAAAGCTGTGATTCTAATGAACTCTCATGACCATGGAGCACCATGCAAGTCTTGGCTTTAATTTACATGAGAAACAAACACAAATTTATCTCACTAGGCAAATATTTTTCACATCTCTTTAAGAGCCATAGTCCAGATACAAAAGGATGATATTGACTTGTTCAACTTACATCATATTCTCCGTGGTATTCCTCAACACCTGTATTTCCTTCACTTTATTCACATGAAAGACAGACGAGGACTTAACACTATAGAGTTGGGGTCAAAAGCCAGGTTTTTGTCATCTATTTCTGGTGATATTTCTATCATCAGAAACCTTGAGGAAACTGCTTAATTTTTCTAAGTATTAGTGCCTTGATCTGTAATATGTGTATAAAGATATCATAGGAATGTTGTGAGGATTAAATACAATCATGCAAATGAAATGGTCATCAGACCAACTGGCATCAATTAAGTAAATAATGACTTGAAATTCATAATAATATTGATGATGCTGTGATGATTTCTGATTTCTGAATAAACAGTTAATTACCACTCATCACACTTTACATCTATCCCAAAGATGGACAAAATGTGTAAGAAACAAGGTTGACAATTTTTCTTTCTTTGGTGGGGGAGGTGGGGAGCGGAGTTTTGCTCTTGTGGCCCAGGCTGGAGTGTAATGGCATGATCTTGGCTCACCACAACCTCCGCCTCCCAGGTTCAAGCAATTCTCCTGCCTCAGCCTCTCAAGTAGCTGGGATTACAGGCATGCGCCACTGTGCGCAGCTAATTTTGTATTTTTAGTAGAGACGGGATTTAGTAGAGACGGGAGTTCCAGGTCTCGAACTCCTGACCTCAGGTGATCCACCCACCTTGGCCTCCCAAAGTGCTGGGATTACAGGCGTGAGCCACCAGGCCCGGCCAAGATTGACAATTTTTCAAAGATTTCTAAAGGAATGCTACAGAAACGCTATACATATTTCAAGAATAAGCCATTTGAGGTTTTAGTAAATTTTAATACAAACCTATGATCTTTCCATTTGTACAAAAGAAGATACAAATTCCTTTCAGACTATGATGTTCCCATATTATTCCCCCCGAAAGCATGTGTGTTATGAAGCCATCCAATACATATGTTGTTGATGGCCTGCCATGTCCTTAACAAGCACACAAGCCCCTCTCACTGCACCTTGAGGAATTCAGCATATGGCCATCAACATCTCTGATTGTCCAGAGTGCAGTTCAACATGAATCTCTGTTAAATTGAAACCAATTAAACATTATGCTACAGAATAGTGCATCTAATGGAATTAGGATGTTATTTTGTTTTATAGATTTGTGCCTGTTCCTGATCACCATATGACAATCTTTTTTCTTCAACAAAATCCTGTCAGTCATTCCTGCCAACATACTGAGTTTTGGAAGCAAGACAAACAGACTTCATTAGGCTTCCAATACACATCTGGAAAAGAAAACACATTGCAAAACTCAATTGAATTTTGTCATTTTGCAGCTCTGGTAGCAACAGATTACAGCATGCACTCATTCAAAGTGTTTGTCACTTAACATACAGAGATCAGAGGACTTCAGATATTGCCTCAAAACATGCATGTGACAAATTACTTATTTCTACAGTTACAGAAGTTTAAAATTGGAGGGAAAGAGAACTAACTTTTTTTTTTAGATCTTTTAATGTGCTAAGTGATTTACAAAGGAAATATTGTCCCTTTTGCTATTTAAAATATTTGTGAGGGAAGCCTTATCTTTCAGCTTGGTAAGAAGGCTTACAACTAGTAATTGTGCAGGACGTCACAACTAGTAAATGATACAGGCACAAGTCAAATATATGTTGCTTACATTCAAAATTTTATTTTGTGAACTACGTGCTGGAATAGTAACTGAAAGATTACACAGTGTAAACGAAAGTTTTATATTTACTACATTCTATTGAAAATTTGTCATTAAAGTAATAGAAGGTAGATGGGTCTAACAGACCAGTCATGTTACATGTAATAGTTTGTTAAATATTTTCAGAGGCATTTTCACTTATGAATCCCAATAATCCCCAAACAATGACATTACTGCCATCCTCAGTTTAAAGAGGAAAACATTGAGATGACATCCCAGTGATAACAGCACATCTATTAACAAATTTGTCCACCTTCAAAAAGTTTCAGGAGTAAGTATTTTCCCCATGTTAGGAAATGGATCACTGGCTATTGCAGGACAGACCTTTGTCATCTCCTGTCTTCCTATGCCTCTTTCATCTCATGAAAAGCATACGCCCTATGTTGTCCATGGTCCCAGAAAGATAAAGCACAACTACTGTCAAACTTTAGCCTGGAGGCCAACTTAGCCAAACTTAGTCTAGATTTGCTGACCCACATTTGATTTACTGGCCTCAATTAGATTGCAGAAAAGTGAGCAGAAATCCAGGATTGTGTTTTAAGCTATGTGTTTTAAGCTTAAAACTACTATGAATATGTTTTTAAGGGTGTGTGTGTGTGTGTGTGTGTGTGTGTGTGTATGTGTGTGGATTTCTATCACTAAGTTAGAATTCCCTTCATTCAATGGAATAATTGCAGAGTTTTGTGGAGGAGAGAATACAACACCTGATATTATCTCTTTCAAGACAAAATGTCTTTCTAGAAATAGAGATAGAGTTGGCCTTGTGAAAACAAATCACATCCTGAATCCAAGGCATTGAATTGTCAGAGGAAGCCTTAAAAAATCTCTCACTGTTCCCCTTACTAAGGGGAAAGCCAGAGGCTACAGAATTCTGGCCACAACAATCCATTCCTTTAAAATAATGTAATCACTCTTTCTCACAAAACATATTTAATCCCGTGGTGAGCCAAGTAAAATTAAGTGTTGTTTTATTGTTAGATTACCTAATTACCACCTTCTCTTTTGCTTTTTTTTGATTTTAAAGTACATGCTTACACACATACACACAAAATAATAACAATAAAAAAGTCTTACCTTCTGTAATAGTCAAAAAGCCTTGATGAAACACAGCAGTATTTTCAAAGTCCCCTGCAAGCTTTTGTCGTTGTTAAAAGCCTTATAAAAAAGTCGTATTTTTAATTTTCTTTTTTCCTTAGTAAAGGAGTTTGAAAATTCAGACAGCTGTTATGTGCTGAGTGCCTTTTTTTCTTTGGTCACTTCTCTTTGTGCCGGCAAAGGTTTAGAGACTTGTAGTTGTTCTTTCTCCCTTTGTTTTGTGATTTATGTGGGAGTCTTGTCAACAATAGTAATCCAAGTCTTGGATTTAACTACTTCAAGGGATCAGAGTTTACGCAGCACATGAAGAAAAGGATATTTGGCATACGTGGTCACTCAGATCACAGCTAATGGATCTCCAGTCAGTCAACATCCCCAGCACAGAGAATAGGACCCCGTACATTCATTTAAATAGGCCAATTGATTGACTGATTGATCTTATATTTGTTAAGTGATTTTTTTTTTACACATCACTTATGTATCAACAAAGAATCTTGTAAAAATGTCAACTAGGAGTTAACAATTGGAGGGCAGGACCTAAATTTCTGTATTTCTGAGATAATATCAAGGCTGCCTGTCCACAGCCCACATTCTGATAGAATGACTTCAGGCCCCTCCTGCCACTGAGAATTGAAAAGGAGATTCATATTGTCATCCTAAAGACCACCAGGATGATTGAATAGCAGGAAGGAGAGCTTGATTGGTGTTATCAGTTTGCAAACCAGGAAGAGATAGTCTGTGGTGTGAACCAAAGGTGCACCCTCTTTGAAGATGAAAAGGGACAAGTTGGGTTTTATGCCTCACAGGTAGGGCCTATATCACACCACACAGTCATACATATTCACCAGGTTTGGGGGGAAAGCTGCACTTATTTATGAAGGGGAGTTGGACACATGCACAACCGGTAAACACACATGTAACATACATCCCGTGTTTACTTTGGGGCAGATTTTTAGCATTAAAATGAGGTGGAATTTGGCCCTTTACACAAAAAAGTGAAATATATTACCTGAAGGTGGTGGCACATGCCTGTAATCCTAGCTACTCAGGAAGCTGAGGCACGAGAATCGCTTGAGTCTGGGAGGCAGAGTTGCACGGAGCTGAGATTATGCCACTGCACTCCAGCCTGGGCAACAGAGTGAGACTCTGCCTCAAAAAATAAAAAATAAAAAGTAAACTACGGGACACAGTTTGGGCGCAACCTCTATATGCCAGCTAAAACTGATCTCCAAAAATAATATAAGTGCTGGGATTTTTCTACATAGGTGTTATGGAGGACATCCATGAGTCTCTATATCTGTAAATTGAGGATGTCATTTTGTGTTCCATGAGCTAATTGTTAAATACCATAATGTATGAAGAGTGATTATTTAACTCGTAAGGCGCATGGCAAGGTCACAAAATCACTAATCTGATTTGGAAATACCCCATATACTACTTATGTTTTTCTTTTGCTTTCTTTTCTTACTCTTTGCTCTTCTTTCTCTTCTTTCTTTCTCTCTCTATTCACATGTCACAGAACTTCAATGGATTTGTTCTTGTTTGAAAACTGAATATCTCAAAAATTAATCCCCCATTTGACTTGAAAACAGTCAGGCATATATTTGTCTGTGGCTCATTTTCTCCAAGGCATGGATGGCAGGAATTGTCAGACAGAGTTGCTGCTCAGCGAATATTAGACTCAATTGTATGACATTGTTCTATATGGTCACTTCTGAAAATGATTCTGATTGGAGAACTGCTTCCCAAAACATTATAGCAAAACTCTCTCACCAGAGACTTCAGACTCATTCTACAGTATAACATGAAATTTCCTGCAGTTGCTGTCTTGATTCTAGTCCTTAAGATTAGCTTAATCTTCTCTTTATAGACATGCAATGAATGGATTCTGCAGTATAATCATTTCGCATGTAGGTATAAAATGTTACTACGGTAATGAGATAAATTTTATAATTCACATACCTTACTCTTACATTAGTAATGCTTTTTAAAAACAAAACTAGAACAAAATAGCTCTGTAATTTAATCATATCCCATACAAATTACTAAAGTTTTTTTGAGCTTTATTTTTAAATTAGGTACATACACCAAACACACACACAGGAACACATACAAACACTGGTATATTTTAAATATTTGAAAAAAATTTCTTTCCTGTTTTCTCCTCCTGAATTTCCTTCTCTTCTTTCTTCCTCTCTTCCCCTTCCTTTTTTTGAGATGGAGTCTCGCTGTGTCACGCAGGCTGGAGTGCAGTGGCTCAATCTCGGCTCACTGCAAGCTCCGCCTCCCAGGTTCACGCCATTCTCCTGCCACAGCCTCCCGAGTAGCTGGGACTACAGGTGCCTGCCATCAAGACTGGCTAAGTTTTTGTATTTTTAGTAGAGAAGGGGTTTCACCGTGTTAGCCAGGATGGTCTCGATCTCCTGACCTTGTGATCTGCCCGCCTCAGCCTCCCAAAGTGCTGGGATTACAGGTGTGAGCCACCACGCCCGGCCTCTTCCCTTTCTTCTTCATCTACCTCTTCTTCATCTTCCACATCTTCCTCCTTTATCTGTCTTTCTGCTCCTTCCTTTTAACAGTAGTTTCGCAGAAGTTCTATGTTGGAGGCCTAATAGCAGATGTGCAATGGATGGGAAGCCATTCTTAAACTCTTCACTGTCCAGGAGAAATTAGACCCAAGTCCAGCAACAACGTGCATCTCAAAGAGATTAATGCCATAAGGTAGGCCACGGAAGCTTAAAGGGGTAAGCAATTCCTTCTGACTCAGATAAATGATACAGAATATTTGAGGATTTTAGTAAGCTCTTTGTAATGTGGTGGCAAAAATGCTTTTGCTAACCCTGTTACATTTTAATCCGCTGCACCCAGGAACACTACATTTTTCCAATCTCCCTTGTAGTAAATAGGATCATTTGACAACATGTGGCCCTTGAAATGTGGCTGGAAGTGTTTTGTGACACCATCTAGACAATAAAACTTCCATGCGATCCTCCAGCCTTTTTGTCTTTCATGTTGGCTGTATTCTGACTCACTGGGCCATATGTGCACAGCTTTTATTACATGAGACCTTTAGATTTGGAGCTATTCTTTGTATTTTTACAGAAATCAGATTGTATTGAATAATAGATTGTCCCTTCTAAGCCTTGTAGGTGTTTAACAAGCAGAAAAGAAGGAGTTAAAAGGTTTTGGGGAAAGGAGACCAATTCTTATGTTAAAGTATAAGGCACAGAGAATATCTGGGGGTGTGTATTGTCTTGGGGGTATACCCTGAGTGTTGTTGGAGTGTGCTTAGCACAGACAGCTAAATCTGCAGGGTGAAGATGGCAACCAGAGTGTAGAGAGCCTTGAATGGCAAAAGAAGAAAGACTTTGGGGGACCTAACCAGTGTTTGACCAGGCAAGTAAAAAGATTCCCACTGAAATTGAGAAATATTGGGTTGACACCAGCTCAGAGAGAGATCAAAGGAAGGAAAAGCTAAAGAGAACCAAACTGTAGGAATAAGCAACCCGAAAGTTAATAATCAATTGATGAGTAGTGGCAATCCTGATAATTATCGAAATAGCTGGCATTTATTGAATGCTTTCGATGGGCCTAGCTTGGCTCTAAGCACTTTAAAGTATCATTTTATCTTCATAACATACCACTGAGATTAATCCTAGTATTTTCTATTTTATAAGGTATTTTAAATGAAATTTTCTGAAAGTTTCCATTAGGTAAGATAACAAAATACAAGCACCAGTCATTGACAGCTTTTCCAAAATTTAAGAAAAACAAAAAAAAATTGATATTCAATTTTGTGATTTTTATATATAGATGCACAAGTAATATATATTTTATATTATATATTAACATATGATAATATATTAGATATACATACAACATTATAAGCTCCTACAAAGCATCTCATAATTATTTTATTCAGTTTTCCTACAGATACTTTTTCATCCTCAATTGATAGATGAGAAAAAATGAGAATTTTTGGTAAGTTAAGAAAATTGAATAAAAGTTCATGAGGATACAGGAATAAAGTGGGAGTTATATGACACTAAGATTTCTCACTCTATATTTGTGCTCCTTTGACTACATGAAAAGACGTAAGCATAAGAGAACAATGATAGATGTAGGTTGGGTGAATAGGTAAGGAAAAAATAGACTTTAAGAAATATTTGATATAATTAAATACCTTATGTATTTAATGATGACTATTTCAATTATGTATTATTAGTTTTGTTTTCTTATTTTAAAAGACCTGTGCTTACATTCTTCTGTGAATATTCTTGAGCTGCTTAAGGCACATAGTCTAATTATATTTTTTTAAAATACGTATATGCCTGCCAGCCAAAGTAAAAACATTTCAGTAAGTATTTTCCACAATTTTCTTTAAGAAATCTTGTAAAGTCTAATGCTGTTTCCTCCTTAGAGAAAGGTGAAACTTTGAGAAAGCTTTTTTTTTTTTTTTTTTTTGAGATGGACTTTTGCTCTTGCTATTGTCCAGGCTGGAGTGCAGTGGTGTGATCTTGGCTCACTGCAAACTCTGTCTCCTGGGTTCAAGTGATTCTCCTGCCTCAGCCTCCCGAGTAGCTGGGATTACAGGCATGCGCCACCACACCTGGCTAATTTTGTATTTTTAGTAGAGATGGGGTTTCTCCATGTCGGTCAGTCTGGTCTCAAACTCCCAACCCCAGGTTATCCGCCCGCCTTGGCCTGCCAAAGTGCTGAGATTACAGACGTTGAGCCACTGTACCCAGCCAGGAAAGCTTTTAGCCATTAGGATAATGACCTCTGTAATCCCAGCACTTTGGGAGGCCAAGGTGGGCAGATCACGAAGTCAAGAGATAGAGATCATCCTGACCAACATGGTGAAACCCTGTCTCTACTAAAAATGCAAAAATTAGCTGGGCGTGGTGGCACACGCCTGTAGTCCCAGCTACTCGGGAGGCTGAGGCAGGAGAATCGTCTGAACCTGGGAGGCAGAGATTGCAGTGAGTCAAAATCACTCCATTGCACTCCAGCCTGGAGACAGAGCGAGACTCTGTCTCAAGAAAAAAAAATAAAATAAAATAATGACCTAAGTAATATCATCACAAGTAACTTACTTTAAACCTATCATCATTAAAGTTTATACAATAGGGCAGATTGTACTTACAACTGTATAATATTAATCACCTGTAAAGTTGCCTAATGACTTACCTACTTGAATGGAAGACAACAGGAGAGGTATTAAATGCAGGATGTGGAAAAATGCCTATAATTTACAGGTTTGGCAAGTCCACAGTGCTTAGGGAACAAGTGTTATACTGTTAATGGCTATTGAAATTTCTAACTGAAGAATTTATTTCCTTGCAAAACTATTTATTAATCATGAGGACTTCGTCATGTTTGAAAAGGGAGAAATAATTTTTAAGAGTCTCTGGAACAATTTACCTTCTGTTTCACAAATCTTCATTTCTTTAAGTAAAATGGCTTTTTCAAATGTATAGGCCTTATTTTAGTAAATTGACATTTTAACCTTAAAGTTTTGTCTAAAAAGACGGAACAATATAGAATCAGAGAAAGATTGAACAGGTACCTTATTTCTTAACCATAAAGCCTCTGTCTGAATGTTTTTCTCATTTAGAAACTGGGGTAACAGATTTTTGAGGCTGGTCCAGTTTATTTCAAGACTGACATCCTACTTTGAAATCAGGGGGTTAACATGCCTTTATTCTTAATCCTTGCATGTCGTTGCATAGATAGCTATGACAAATTACCTTCTCTTTTCTTTACATTTCTATACTTTAGCATGTCTTAAATTATTTTCATTGTGAATTAGGAAATCTTCCTATGTGGCCATCCTGAAGGCCAAGAATGACAACTTATGTGATTCTTGTATAGTAGACTGTTTGTCTACTATGGTACCAATCGTGCATGCAGTTTCTCTTAATTAATATACTCCCCTCCTTCCTCATGGGTTCTTTGAAGTCCTCAAACTTAACCTCAATTTGCATGGTCAGCAGCACATGCTTTGTCACTGATCACATACTTTTTTTTTTCCTGATTATATTAATACTCTACTTCTCAAATTACCTCTTCTCCCAAGCTTATCACAGCTCCTTTTTTCTCCATGCATTTATGGCTTTTCGTTGGTCTTGATTTAATCCTGTTCTTTGCACTGAATGTGCACTCCCTAATTTGTTTCTCATTTTCTTAAAGTTTGTTAGTAGAATTAAGTCCCAGTCCTTCTTCCATACCTAGCCCACCATACCAGTGCCATGGATGGTATTATAGCTCAATTTGCATCAGCACCGGATGTGGCTGTTAGGTATTCTTTGTTAGTAAAAGAAAATAGAATATTTATTCATTAAACAAACATATATTTAGCACATGCTTTCTGTCAAACACCCACACTCTAGCAGCAACAGATTCCCCACTTGTCTTTAATCCCCACTCAGCTCTCAAAACCTCACGTGGTTAAGTTCAAATAAAATCTAACTTTCTAAAATCATGTCTTCTCATTTATGTACTTTAGCCATTGATTCAAGAAATATGCCAATATGAATGAATGCAACTATGAGGTATTAGTTATTTCCCATTGGTTTAAACTTGACAATAAAACTTAGCAATGTCTTGTTTATGATCTCACCTGATTTTGACACAAGACTTAGTATATGTTCAATATAGCTATGGATGCACAAATTATGGGGGCTTATGAAAAATCAATTTACACAAATTGACTCTACACAGTAGAAAACCCTCTTTTTCACTATCTGAGCTATTCTATAATACATATGCACGTACAAAGACATCTAAAGATTTTTTTTTCCAACCCCACTTTTCAAGGCACTCAACCGTTGCACTCCAAGACAGCTCCTGGTTTCTTGGGTCTACACAGGTATCATATTTGTAACCATTAATATGCAGACAGAAGATGATTAAATGCAGGCATGATAAAATGTGACACCTCATAATAAATGAGAATAAAAAAATGAATTTGTAACCATAAATCATGTATTAAAATTTATGTCACTGGCTTACATTGATGAAGACAATGTAGAAATAAGAAAATATGAGCTAGAACTACTTTAAAAATTATAATGAAAGATATTTCAATTTTTTTATTTTTTTCAACTCTTTATCTTACGTTGAAAATTTGACTTCTTGCCCCTGAAGGTAGAATGCTTGAACTTTGTGGTTTAGAATAAGACATTGGACAGTTACCAGTTTCATTATAATGAAAATTTTTAACTTTAGCATTTTAAATATCAGTGCTCATATGCACTCAAGACAATGAAATACTACCTTTTTTTTTTTAGAAAAAGTAAAATATCTATTTTAAAAGACACAAGATATTGAAGTATAGTCTTGCCACATACTTTATCTAAAAAGAATTTGACTAAACTATTCTATGCCCTTTTGTGTAAAGTTTTATAATGATTACAACACTTTAAGTTTGGAGAAAAAATAGAGAGCACTACCTCACAAATTAAATAATATGAAATCCTTAAATGGAAAAATCACTTGTAAAATTGGAAATTTCCAACAATCCAAAACATAACCAGAAATCTGATCTGGAAAGCCACAGCATGGCCGGCATTACTATAAAATAGCAGGCCCTACATTTCAATAAAGTCACCATAACTTAAATTTCAGATTGATCTTGTTCCTTCAAAGGTACCCCATTTGGCAGAAAATAAAATCATTCTAATGCTACTGAAACAATTTTAGGAAGTCAGTTCTATAAGCAATACCTGGGTTGTGTTAAAAAAATGAATTTTAGAAAAAATGATTGCCTTGTGATTTGGGGAATGTAATTTCTTATTATCTATTAATACCTGGCCACATCTTCATTGTTTTCTACATTTGCTATTTTAATGGAAGCCTTATGCAGTGAAATAAATGTGGGATTTTTCTAAGAGGCTTTCATAATGTATAGTGATTTTCTGAAGTCATATTTGTTACCTAGTGTTAGGAGTTGAAATGTATCCCCCCAAAGATTATATTAAAGTCTTAACTCCCAGAATCTCAGAACATGACCTTATTCTCTCCAAATAGAGAAGGTATTTACAAGGCTAATCAAGTTAAAATGCCATAGATTCGTAAGGACTATTGTTTTTATTAGGTGAAAATTTAGACACAGAGACAGACATATAGAGGGAAATGATGTGAAGAGACAGAAAGAAGACTGTCATCCACAAGCCATGACGAGAGTCCTGGAACAGGTTCTTCCCTCACTGGCCTGTAAAGGATCCTACCCTGCAACACCTTGATTTTGGACCTGTACCCTCCAGAACTGTGAGACAATAGGTTTCTCTGTTTTAAGCCAGGCAGCATGTGGTACTTAGTTATGGTGGCCCCAGGAAGCAAATGCACTCACTATCATGCAGTTATAGTAAACTCTCTCATCATCAGGAAATGGAAGGTAAAAAAATAAAAATAATTTTATAAAATAAACTCCTTTCCCTTGAGTTTTCTGAAATAGTCACAGGCTTAAATGACATCTCTCTGAATGTTATTCACTCGGTCTTATGCACCATACTAGGAAACTAGAAGATGCTCAACAAATGGTCATTAAACCCAAATGTAAACTAAGTTCAATGCTCTTTGAAAGTCAAATGAATACTATGGTACACAGTATAAACTCCATTCTGTTCCTACTGACTATCCAGATTTAGGGGTTAGGCTAAAAGAGAGTGGGGGATAGGGGATCTATTGTAACACCCACTTTGTTCCTGAGCTCCCGTTTCTGCAAAATTAGCATATGGCTTGCTTGGTTGTCTCCATAGTTAGATCCTATTCCACTTGGTATTGCCAACAACATAACTTCTTTTCCTACAAATATGCTCATGATCTCACTGGAGAGTGAGATGTAATCTTAAGAGTTTGATGTAAAAGAGTTGAGTAGTGTTTTAACATCCTACCATAAAGAGCCCAAAACTGGATATTGGGCATCCCAACCTTTAGTAGATTTTGTTCATTTTGGCCAAGGGGATTATCTTGATTTATCCCTCTCTTTTTTTTAATAGATTTCAGGCCCCCATCATCTTGTTAGCCTTCCAATTTCTCCACAGTCCAGTGGCTTCTCCTTATTTTTTTCCTCGGTCCCCATCTGCTATGGACTAAATTGTGCCCCCCTTCCAATTCACATGTTGAAATTCTGACACCTAATGTAACTATATTTGAAGACGAGGGCTCTGAGGTATAATTAAGTTTAGATGAGGTAATAAGGGTGGGGGTCTCATGCAGGGGTTAGTGCCCTTATAAGAAAAGACACCAGAGAGCACTGTTGCTCACTCACTCTCTCTTTCTTTCTCTCTCTCTCTCCCCATATACACACACTGAGGCAAGTCTGTGTGCACATGCAGTGAGATGGTGGCCATCTACAAGTCAGGAAGAGGGCTCTCTCCAGAACCCACCATGATGGTACCCTGATTTCAGACTTCCAGTCCTGAATTGTGAGAAAATAAAATTTCTGTTGTTTATAAGCAACTCACTCTATGGTACTTTGTTACAGCAACCAGAGTTGACTGAGACAGAGTTTATTAGCAATTTGATCCTCTTTATTTTGTTAATAAACTTAGCTCTTTCCCCATCGCTATACCAGCCTGTTCAAATTCAGAGGGCCCCAAAATAACAAAGATATCTAATTTTTTGCATCAATTTCTAATTTTTTTGCAGGAAAGTTAACTTAGGACAGCATTAAATGTATATCATAATTAATGATATACATTATACCACTCAGAAGTCAAGATGTTATTGTCAAGTGTGGGAAACCTCAGTTTTTGTCCAAGTTGCAAGAAAGAATTCAGCCAAGAGACACATAGCAAGGGTAAAGTAGCCGAGCTTATTAGGAAGATAAAGTACATTCTTACAGAGGAGTGAAAAAACAGCTCCAGGCTGGTCTGGCTGGGAAAATGGTAGTAGCAGTGTTTATTTAAAGAGACAGCACACTCTGAAAGATGAGGCAGAGTGGGATGCTTAAAAGAATGAACCAGCAGCAGCTAGTGCTGGGGAACTGCATGACAATCTTATATACTTATTCATGAGGGGGCATGAGGGGTTGTCACATGCAAGCATGTTTCAGGAGGTCCCTGTGGGCATACATGTTCTGTGGCTGTACATGCTAGGATACATGTCCCATGTCTCATTAGCATCTAAAATCTCCACTTGAGGGTGTGTTTTTTACTATTATAATGAGCAGCAGGCTATGCTCAGGTGAGTTTCTGCTTTCCCTGCTTGTCAGTGGGGAAATTCCCTACCATGTTTATCTCTGGCTAGAGGAGCCCAAACACAAGGCCAGATGTAGCCAACGTAGCCATTGTCATTTTTGCTGACTGTCAGTGGGCAGTGCTGACTATCGATGGTCAGTGTCTCCAGGACCTTTTTCCCCAGGGGTCTTCCTTGACTGCTCATTTCTGGCTATCTGCCTATTCTAACAAAGAGTGACTAGAGTTAATTTGGATTTTAAATAAAAACTCTATGTTTGCTTATCAAATATACAAAAATGTTACCTTCTCATGAAAAGTCAGAGCCTTGCCAAACTCATTTAGATTTACTTTTAGTGTTAATGCATGCACACATGTTCACACCCATACACACACACACACAGTTTTCTGTCACTATTTTTATTTGCATGCAAGATAAAATACATTAACTTAAGAGAGATGAAAACTTTAGGAATAATTCAGAACTATGGGCTTATGCTCCAGACTGATGTGAGGCTGTGGGTGAGCACATACTCATGGAAGTTTGTGAAATAAAAAAAAAAAAAGAAGTTGTTCTACCGTGCTTACATTTATACTTTCAAAAACAAGATGCTAAAGGTGATATTAGTTGAGCAAAACACTGTTATTTTAGCTACTCTGGAAACTAGTTGACAATAAGTAGTCCCTTGAGGTAAGATTCTTCCCTGCATTGTTCACTACAATATTTGTTCAAAACTGAGGAGTGATTTGTAAGATCTGTCCCTTCAGGAAAAAAAAGTGATATTGATGCCATGTAGCTAATGCAGAACCAAAACAAAAGAAATCAAAAAACCTCAAGCTAGCAAAATGATGAACATAACACCACTTTTCATTTTCCATTTCAGTGAAAGATTCATTTTATAGCATTTGAGGTAATCCCTGGTGTGATCTAGCTGAAATGGAAAAAAAAAATAAAAGAGAGAGAGAGAGAGAGTAAGTTTTTAGGTTTTTATAGAAAGAGCTCTGGCGTCTTAGTGACTATTGTTATTTCTTCAGCATTTTGAGTTCTCTTGAGTTCAATCAAACAAAGAACTTTATTAAGCACCCACGGCAAGCTGCATGTTAAACAACAAAGAAGCTGTGTCCAACAGTATTTTCTGAGCATCCACAGTACACAATGCCCCTTGGACACTTTGGTGCTGTTGTTATTCCTAGGTTACAGAAAGGAGACCAAGGGTCAGGTCATTTAAATGATCTTCCAATACTAAAACTTCTCATAAGCAGCAGAATTTGGTCTAAAATCTCATCAATGTGTTGCAAGGACCAGAGAGAAGGAGCTAGTGCTTATTTTAAGGATACAGGGGCCAAGTTGGGAAGCACAGAAAGATGTTTGTCTTCAGGGTCTCTCAGAGAACCTCATTGAAGATGCCATAGCATGCTTACCTTGCCCAAATCACTCTAGGACAGGCAATGCTGTGGGATAAGTAAAAGTGGACAGCCTGGATTAAGACTGTCTGTGCTCACAGCCGCTCTTCCACGTATTCATTCTTTAAACTTGAGAATATTTAACCTGCCTGTATTTCTACTGCACTGCAGGTAAACTTGGAATAATGAGATAACAATGCAAGCTTCATAAGTATGTGATAAAGCTTATGTGTTTTTGTTGTTGTTGTTGTTGTTGTGTTTTTTTTTGAGACGGAGTCTCGCTCTGTCACCCAGCCTGGAGTACAGTGGCGCGATCTCGGCTCACTGTAAGCTCCGTCCCCCGGGTTCACGCCATTCTCCTGCCTCAGCCTCCTGAGTAGCTGGGACTACAGGCGCCCGCCACCACGCCCAGCTAATTTTTTTGTATTTGTAGTAGAGACGAGGTTTCACAGTGTTCGCCAGGATGGTCTCGATCTCCTGACCTCGTGATCCACGTGCCTCGGCCTCCCAAAGTGCTGGGATTACAGGCGTGAGCCACTGCGCCCGGCCAAGCTGATGTAATTTTAATAAGTGTTCATGACAGTGCCTGGCACATTGTACATTTTCCAAAAATGTGTCTATTATTTTGAATTATTAACTAATATATTATTTTCATTATTATTTTGAGACAGGGACTCACTCTGTTGCCCCGGGCATGGTGCAGTCATAGCTCACCGCAGCCTTGAACTCTTGGGATCAAGCAGTCCTGCCTCAGACTCCTGAGTAGCTGGGATTACAGGTGTGTGACACTGTGCCTCCCAAAGCTCTAGAATTGCAGGAGTGAGCCACCACACCTGGTCTATTAACTAACATTATTAATATTGTTACTTGAGTCTTCCCTATCACTCCTGTCTCATGGTGTTAGCTTATTTATGGGTTTTACTCCCTTATGGCTTTCGCTTATTTCCTTCCCCCTTGTGTCTCTCTGCTTCTGTGGATGTTCTGCCTCTCTCTGAATGATTTGTATTCTAATTCCTAAAGAAAAGGAATATGATAGGGTTGGCTAATCACTACCCTACATAAACTGTCCCGTTAGAGCAGACTACTTTACTTCTGTAAAACTACATCAGATCCTCAGGTGTCAATCACAGGATAATCAGCTCCCACTAGAATTATGTTGCTTTATGTTAAGATTTAGGTGCATAAAGTCAGCAGAAGATGTGTTCCGCCACAGACAGTTTGAGCTTTGATGCTTATCCAGAATATTCTGTCTCCCTGTGCTTTTGCTCTATGGGGCACACTGCAGTTAATGTTCTCTCCTGATGGAAATCAGAAGGAGCCAAAGACCTCTGTTATATTTCAAACCCAACATCAAATAGAAAACTAATAACATAAAGAGAAAAACATGTTATGCCACATAGATACTACATTTGTAAAGCAAGAAGTGAGATACATATATTTGCAGATTAGTGATTGAATTTATCCCATATGGTATTTTAATCCGGAGTAGAGATGGTGGGGATGGTGATTTTATGTATCAGGAATGTTGATGTATTTAGCTTGTCTATGGCAGTGTGGATGGCTGTGATGATAAAACAGAGACATGCCTAATTTCCCTTTACAAACTGAGAAGGCATTTCTCAAATCTCCTTTTACACATTGGTGTTGCATAATCTCAATCTAGTCCACAAATTAAATGCAACTCCTAACCAAATCTCACTGCCTGCCCCCTCACAGACGCCATGAACATAGAGTTCTGTGTCTCTTGCTTCTCAATCTGCAGCTTCTTGAATAACTTTCAAGGTCTCATGACACAGAGTTGTGTCTTTTATCACTCTAGCAGCTCTCAGAGTGCTCAGTTGGTGGTTTTTGTTTTTTTTTCTTTTTGCTTTGTTTTGCTCTGCTTATACTTAGGACTTGCCTGACCAATGTGATATATTGGAAACAAAATGTGTGTGATTGTTCATATTAAACAGGGATAAAGCTATATGATTCTGTTAAAAGTATTTACAAAGTAATCGTACATTTTTTTATTTAAAAAAATGTATACGTATTTGGAGGGTACAAATGCGGCTTCTTACATGTGTAGTGGTGAAGTCTGGGCTTTTAGTGTACCCATCACCTAACTAGTGAACATTCACCCAATGGGCAATTTTTCTTAAAGTGGCTCCAACAAAAAGTGATTTTCTGATTTAACAAAAAGTCTGATGGTTTGGATTTTAAATTAAAACTCCATTTATGTTTGCTTAACAGAGATATAGAGCATTACATGAATGAATGAACAAATAATAATAATAATAAAGAAATGCAGATAACCAAATTACCCAAGCCTGAATACAAACTTTAATAATGATATTTATCACCTATGTGACCTTTGCAGTGATTTTTATTCACATTTTCCTCATTTGTAAAATTATGTCTAAAGTATTTCTTTCCAAAAGTTGCTGAATGAAATAAAATGTTGCATGAAACATTGTGGCCTGGCTAATTATAGATTCTCAAGAACAAAGAATCAAAGTGTTGATATGTTTGTTATTTTGCTAGTTTGAGGTCTGGGGTGTTTTTTTGTTTTTTTTGGCCTGCTTTAGTTATATGGTTTGAATACCACTTTTTTTTTCCTGAAGGGTCAAATCTTACAAATTACTCCTCAGTTTTGAATTGCTGATAGCAATTGAGAGGTTTACTGATTTATGGGCTGGAAAGTCTGGTTTTCTTGGCCTTCCCTCTTGTATTTCATAGTAATAACATGATTCTGGAAGTTCATATTCAAAGCTAAAAACTTTGAGGAGATGTAGTGATATCAGCCACATGTTACCCATTTTTAGGAAAAGAAAACGGCTTTCTAGAAACCCCAACTGATTTCTGCTTACATCTCACTGAGAAGGACTGTGTCTTGTGGCTTCTTTCTTATCTACAAGAGAAACTGAGGAAGTCAGAATCTCTGCTGGAGCTTAGTATGTCACATTCTTGAATCAGATAGGTTTCTGTTTTCAAGAATGTAAATAATAATGGTCAGTGAGTATACAATTAACAATATCTGCTATGTTATGGTGGAAATTTGTGTACATTTGTGTAAGAATAACTCAGATTTGGCAAAAGTTTATTGCATAATAAATACTCAGATTTTCAATTGCAACTGAAAACATGCTAGAACTTCAGAGAAGGAGTTCATTTGTGATGCCTGAATCATACAATGAAAACTGTGTTTAAAACATCAAGCTTATACAAATCTATACAGGTGATAAAATTGTCTAGACACTGTGTGTGTTTGGATGTGTATGGGTGTGCCAGTGTTCATCAATTGGTAGAAGTTGCATGGATCAGTGCATTAATGAGTGTCCTGAAACTCTCTTTGGGCTCAGGGAGAAAGGATGTTGCCATTCATTATCAATGGCAGCCATTGGTGGAGGAGTAATGAGGGATAGATATGTGCACTGTGTCTATGTAATTGAAGGGTTTTTTTTTTTTCAACCTGTCAGGTAACTATTGGCAATGCACTAACTCAACTCTTATGGCAATTTCACTATCCAAGTACCACCATAAAGGATATATTGCATCACAGCACAACATAGGACAATACAATACTGCAATTATCTTGCTCTGGATTGATCTCTTTGATTTGGAAAATACTGAACACTTTCTCCACAGGCAAAGATTCAAGGAAAACTATTTTCCTGCTTGTGAAAACTGATAGCAAAGGACAAGAGGAGCACCTAGTAACCGTAGTAGATAAAATGTACAATGCATAGCTTTGAAAACTGTTTCGGAACCCTGGAAATACCTTGGAACTTTAAGGAAAGCTGAGAAAGAAGGAATTAGTGTAGGAACTTGACTAATTACCATTCTCAAATATTTTTGCTCAAAATTCTACCTTAAAATATGAAAAGATGCTAACCAAATGCTCTTATCTTTGTTCTGTTGATGTTGCCTCTGAAGCTCTATTCTCTGATGTTAGTTTCACTTGGTCTGTTCACTGAAATTTGTAATCATCTCCGCAACAAGTGCTTCCTGCCAGGAATGTTGCAAAACAGCCACAAAACCTGAATCTTTTATGCTGCTGCTATTGTCTTCAATTTGAAGATATCAACATTTATTTAGTATTCAAGGTATACTAGGCTCTGTGTAACACATTTTATAAAGCCTTGCCGGTCTTCAAGCATGAATCTGAATCAAGAACTCTGAATCGAAAGCATGTGCCCTGTTTGACATGAGATTTCAAAACTATACCACACACACACACACACACTCACACAAAATTTTATATCTATTTACATCTAGGTCTTATTCTCATCTTATTTTCAAACTTCTTTATGACAGAGAACAGCCCTATTCATGTTTTCATGTCCTAAAATGCCTAAAAACATGCTCAAAACATGATCAGTTTTAAAAAATAATTCAATTCTAATGTATTCCAATGTGTAATGTAAAAGATCCAAACTCTGGTTACATGAGTATGTTTTGTTTGTAAAAATATATGGTATTATGTCCTTAGGAGGGGTGTGTGTGTGTGTGTGTGTGTATACATATATATCACTTTAAAGGTATTCACGTTCTGAAGTGATTTGTATATTAACAATATAACACACATTGCAAAAAAGACAAATTTCAGATTAAGAAACAAACTCGGTATCTACAATGACATATATAGAGAAAAATGACATTGTATACTTCTTAAAATAACAGGCTATAAAGCATAACCAAATCTGTACAGTTAGGGGAAATTCGCATTCTACAAAAACTGTTGGAGTTGTTTTGCCATAAATATCTGTGAATATCTTTAGTAAGACTAATATAAATGTGTCGATGTATCTATTTTCAATTGATATGCCACTTACTGCCTTGGAGAATTTAAGACCATTTACAATATTAATAATTCATCTCTGAGAATCTTAATTGTACTTAGCTTGCACTTTAATCAGCAGATTTCAATTTCTTACCATGACCCAGAGTAAATCAAATTTACAACTAAACTCAATACACACACACATGCACACAGCAAAAACAAATGTTCCAAAAATAATGGCTACCACTATGTGATGCACTGTTTTTTTCTCTCATCTCATCTATGTGTTTCACTTCTTTTTTCCCTAATTCTTTTCTTTATTTTTGAAGATTGCTGATCCAAACCACAAAATTGATTTTATGGCTCACATAATCAAGGGTGAGCAAACATTTTTCTGTAAACAGACAATACATATTATAAGCTTTGCATGCCATAGAATTGTGTGTGTGTCTGTGTGTGTGTGCTGTTTGTCACAACTGCTCAACTTTGCTTCAACTATTCAACTCTGCTATTGTAGTGTGAAAGTAGACATAAGTCATATGTGACTAAATGGGCATGTTTGTGTTCCAATAAAATTTCATTTATAGAACAGAGGGTTGCCCAGATTGGACCCACAAACTATAGTTGTCCCAGTCAGAGATCATAGTGACTAATCATAAGACTCATTTTGAGAAATACTGCTCTCAAATAGCTATTATCAACCATTTTGACCTCATGACCACTTCATACTCTTAACATTATTAAAGCAAGAAGTAAAATTTTTATGTGGATTATATCCATCAGTATTTATCTTAACAGAAATTTATACTGAGAAAAAAGTTTATTCATTCATTTTTCACAATAATTTAATTGCACATTAATGTAAATGCCATATTTATTAAAAAATTGTTTTACAGAACAAAGAAATAATTACCATTGAGAGTCATATGCTTTTATATTTTAGCATTTCTCTTAATGTCTGGCTTAACAAAAAAGAGCTAGATTTTCATTTCTATTTTTCATTTAATCTGGTATATTTCAAAGTTATTGAAAGAAGAAAATAACTTTAAAAAAATCTGGTATAGTACATTATTTAGGTTAAAGTGTATGAAGAGAATCCAGACTATGTATTAAAAAAAGAGGTATTTTATAGACATCAGATAATTATGGATATCCATTTTTGATACTACATCTGATATGTTTTGACTCCATGTTCAAAGAATTACATCCTTTGAATTGTAATTCCCAGTGTCAGAGGAGAGGCCTGGTGGGAGGTGATTGAATCATGGGGGCTGAATTCCCCCTTGCTGTTCTCATGATAGGGTTCTCATGAGATCTAGTTCTTAGAAAGTGTCTAGCACCTTCCCCTTTCTCTCTCTCTCCTGCTCCAGCCACGTGAAGACTGTGCCTGCTTCCCCTTTACCTTCCACCATGATTTTAAGTTTACTAAGGCCTCCGCAGCCATGCTTCCTGTACAGCCTGAGGAACCATGAGCCAATTAAACCTCTTGTCTTTATAAATTACCTAGTCTCAGGTAGTTCTTTATAGCAATGGGAGAACAAACTAATACAACATCAAAACTTGATAAGTGATAGTTTCTTAAATGTTAATTGTAAATCACAATCTGAAAACCGTATCAGTGAACTTTGCGCTGTTTTATTAAAATCCATTAGTCTTACACTTTGAATGGATCTCTTACCATTGCATGATGATTTTATAACATCATATATTAGTCATCTGGAAAATATTGATTCATTGAGTTAAGCAGATATTCCGTATGTTGACACATGTTGTTTGGAAATATTTTTTAAATCATGTTTCTAATATTATCACTGATCTTGTTACCAAACAAGGCTTCTTTCCCCAATGCAAGCCAATCACTGAGTCATTGAGATTTGTGGCAGAAAAAGGATTCATTCATGAGGCAGACAAGTGAGGAGACATGAGAGCAAGCCTCAAATCCACCTCCCCAATGAGTCTTAAGTGGGGTGACTTTAAGGATCAAACTAAGGGGGTGGGGAATTGGGTAATGAGGGGTCATCAGTTGATTGTCTGAGATGAAGGAAATTCCAGAGTCCATGGATCAGGCACTGGGTTGCAACTATAGTTGAGGTACCCCTCATTTCAGAAATGGGTCCATAAGGACATGGTCCTAGCAATTGAGTTTTTAACTTTTTTTTTGGTTCTAGGAGTTAGGTTGGTTGATGATCTTGAGCATTTTAAGCTGGATTCAGGACTGACTTTTGAGTCTCTGAAAACAATTTAGCCAACATCTTGTAATCCATACATCAGGGTAAGAGGCTATCTATAGGAAGACTGCAGAAACTATGGTTAGGCTATATGACATTTTAAGAGTAAAAAGGACAGCTAACAATGGGTAAGCAAACAGCTGAAAGTTATAGTTAATAACTACCTAGAGGAACTTCAGTTACTGTCTCTCTAATCTTTAAGGGCTACTTGGCCACCAGTTTCAATCTCTCCAGATAAGTCTTTAAATATTGGAAATCTATAACTTATGGTAGTCGATAACATTTTCCAAAATCTAACATTTACTTGTAAGTTGATTTTTTTTCTTCAGTAACACATACTGTCAGTTGTTTACCTTGACGTGGCAGAATCATTTTACTCACTTTTGAGAAAAGATTTGCCAAATATCTAAGTCTGGTTAATCATAACTGATTTAGGTGTAGTAAAGAATTTGGGCCCAGCATGGTGGCTCACAGCTGTAATCCAAGAATTTTGGAGGCTGATATGGGAGGATCACTTGAGCTCAGGAATTTGAGACCAGCCTGGGCAACATAGTGAGACCCTGTCTCTACATTAAAACAAAATAGTAGAGTGTGGTGGCATGTGCCTGTAGTCCCAGCTACTCAGGATGATGAGGTGGGAGGATCATTTGTGCCTGAGAGGTCAAGGCTGCAATGAGCCATGATTACACGACTGCACTCCAGAATGGGTGACAGAGCAAGACCCGGTTTCCAAAAAAAAAAAGAAGTTAATCTTTCCCAAAAGAGGTTTTAAAAAATTAACCTATGTACTTAGCTTCTTGGAAGTAATTTCTAGGTTTTTTTAAACATTCTGCCTGAGAGGTATGTGTTTGTTCACCTGGGAGCTTTGGAAGGTGCCAAATAGTTACGATGTGATTTCGAGTGAAGGCTTTCGGCCACACCAGTAATGTGATTCATGGGCTTTGAGTCATGTCCTATCACTTGACTTTCAGAGAAGTTGGAGAATGAGGTTAGCCATGGTGGGGAGCCAATCAAGTTTTCATGATCAAGCCCCAATAAAGGCTCTAGACACTAAGGCTGTGTGAGCTTCCCTCGTTGGAAATTTCTTGTGCATATGGTCACACATCGATGCCAGGAAAGCAATGCTGTCCACAGCTCCACAAAGAAAAGACAATAGGAAGCTTTGTTTTGTATGGAATTTTCCTATATTTTGTTGCATGTGCCCTTTCTCTTGGCTGATTTCTATCTGTATCTTTCAGCTCTCCTTAACTATAATAGCTTTCAGTGAGTTTTTGGAGTCCTTCTAGTAAATTATTGAACCTAAAAGTGGTCTTAGGGAACCTTGAACTAGAAATCAGTGTTAGAAGATGGAGTGGTCTTGGGAACATTGTTTTTTCCAAACTTCACAATCTGTTAGCCATTCTTTCAAGCAACAATAGTGTTCCATGACAAAGGCAGCTAGTTCAGCTCACAGACAATTGCAGAATAGTTTTTTCCCTGGGGCAATCATTACACTTCAGGATGTAGCAGAAGTGTTTTATATATCACACAATGTACTAAAAAAGACCTATGTCAAGAGCTATTCTTAAGAGACACTGGCTTTTTTTTTTTTTTTTTTTTTTTTTTTTGACGGAGTCTCACTCTGTCGCCCAGGCTGGAGTGCAGTGGTGCAATCTCGACTCACTGCAAGCTCCGCCTCCTGGGTTCATGCCATTCTCCTGCCTCAGCCTCCCAAGTAGCTGGGACTACAGGCACCTGCCATCACGCCTGGCTAATTTTTTGTATTTTTGAGTAGAGATGGGATTTCATCATGTTAGCCAGGATGGTCTCGATCTCCTGACCTCGTTATCCACCTGCCTTGGCCTCCCAAAGTGCTGGGATTACAGACATGAGCCACTGCGCCCGGCTGACATTGGCTTTTTAAACTGTAAATGCATGAAAATAAAAAAAATACAGTGATCACTGCTATAGTTTGATATTACTGGCTTGATTTTGCTAAGGCTCCAGCAGTGTTACTCACTGTTACTTTTGCACCATCAGTGCAAGTATCAATGTGTAAAAAAAAAAAAACAAAAAAACTAATGTCTCAATTTTTTTATGAGTAAAATTCTGAACTCACAGACCTCCTAAAGTATTGCCAGGCACGTCTAAGTATCTGTATACTATTTCCATAAAAGTAATTCTACATATATCACATCTTACACATGTCTGAAGAATCCTCTACTTAATGGCCAGGTTTCCATTTAGTAATAAGAGAGAAGCTTAATTGCAAGCTTAATTGGAAGTTCTCTAATTTCATGTTTCTGAATTTCACTGTTGGCCTAGTTCTTTCATTGTCTTTCATTTTAATATTTTTCATTTTACAGAATTTCCTCTCCTGCCCCAAGACTTTGCACTTCTGCTCTCAAAACATCCTCTTACCTCCCACACCACCACATATTTATTCATTCGTGTATAATCTCACATTTACACACATTCATTCATACACAAACACACTTCACATAGCATGTCCTCTCACCCTTCCTGACTCCTCTTCATCCTTTAAGTCACTTCTTTAGATACCTCCTCCTCAAAGAGGCCTTCTGTAATTATCCTAATTTCTTTTTTCTTTTATTCTTTGTTCCTCCATTGCCTAGCATAATGTCTGATAGGTAGAATGCATAAAATCAAGTGAGCTGAAAAAAGCTAATGATTGAAGGCAAAAATATCTGATAAATTTAGTTATCAGTTATCATTTTACGACCCGGGTGAAGGATTCTAAGATGGAGCATGCTACCCTCTGATTGGAGCTGTATGTCTTTACTTATCTATGTATACATGCCGGCCGGCACAAGCAAGTATGCATTACAAACTTGTTCAATGTGTGCAGAAAGAAATGTTACCTGTATATTAAAGTATATTCAGCTTTATGCTTCAGCAGAGTTGAACTGTTCTTCTAGAACATTCTTCAGTGCTCCTTGATCTTCTATCTTATAGAAGTACATTTTTCTTAATACACTTTCCCCTTTAAAATAATTCAATATTTAGGGTTCTACCTTCTTGCGTAGACTATAGACTTCTTAGACCTAGAGAATTAACTCCTGGTTAGTTAGCAAAGTTTTTGCCTTTATTCTCCCTTTCTTGTAATGGGTGTGAGAGGGAGGAGGTGTGGGAAAGCGTGGATTGTTGAAGTGGAAGAGACAAATGAGTGAGATGGTCAAACATCACATGTCATCAAATCTAGGAAAATAAAAGGGAAAATCAAAGGGGAGTGTCACACAGTACACAGAGGTGGTGATACATGCACAGATGATTTAATCTAAGTCCCCAACTTTACAAAATTTGCAGATGAGGACACTGAGGTCCAAGAGAAAGCAAGTCCCCTACAAAGATCTAGAATCCATTTTCTTGACTCTTACATAGGGCTAATGCTTAGTATTTACAGACTGTGCTGCACTTGCTATGTAGATTGAACTTAGACATTAATTTTATATCTTTGCTGTGACCGATATTTTTTTTTTCCTGAGGCCCTCAGTCTCAGTCACTTTGCATTGTTGCACATGAAGGCATCTGCCATCCATCTCCTAAGCTTCTTCCTAACCTGACTGCAGTGGAGAAATCTCTCACCATTTGAGATTTGGCATGTGACATAAGGCTTGTGACATAAGGCTTGGCATGTGACATAAGGCTGCCTTAGGCCCTGTATTTTGCCCTATATTTTGATATAGGACAAAATGTGGTTGGTACTCAAAGTTAGGATTCCTCTAATAGATCTCAATTTACTCTTGGGGATCTCCTGACATGAAAATAAAATTTAAATCTCCTCTTAAAAAGCAGAAGGAGAGAAGGAAACATAAGAAGTTCCAAGAATCCTGGATAAAGTTAGAAAATATTTCATCCACTCTGAATTTTACTTGCAGATAAGTCATCCAAAGCCCCAAATTATACAGCAGACCCTCTTCACCCCCTCCAAGACTCCATTAACTTTCAGAGTATGATCATTAACTTTCAGAGTATGATCAAAAACTCTTTCTTCTGCGGAAAAAGAATTTTCCTCAAGTTATTTTCTACTTTTTAAATCTTTAAATGCCTCTGTTAACCAGAAGAGACAGGACCCTATATTTTGGATAAGGATATTTTAAGTTTAAATAAAACTTTTCATTCTTATCTCAATTTAAAAATTTTTAAAGTATACTTTAAAAATACTTATATGATGATCTACAGCCCTTTGCTTTGTATATTCCTATCTTGGTTGTGTATGCTGTGGGATTTAGTTATGAACAAATAATACAAATAAGGAAAATATTCTGGCCTGTTTGGAACATTTTGATTTATTTATTTATTTATTTATTTATTTATTTATTTATTTATTTTTTTGAGTTCAAGTCTCGCTCTGTCACCCAGTCTGGAATGCAGTGACACAATCATGGCTCACTGTAGCCTCAAACTCCTGGGTTCAAGTGATCCTCCCACCTCAGCCTCCTAGAAGCTGGGACTATAGGTGTGTGTGTTACCAGGACTAATTTCATGTAGTTTTTTGATTGTTTGGTTTTTTTCTAGAGACAGAGTCTGGCCGTGTTGCCTAAGCTGGTCTTGAACTCCGTACCTCAGGCAATCATTCCACCTTGTCCTCCCAAACCACTGGGATTACAGGTGTGATTCACAGCATTCAGCCCAACTTTTTTTTTGAGTCTCACATTGCTTCTTTCTCTCTCTCTTTCAATTCAAGTTAGTATCTCTATTCTCCATTGGTTTTACTTGTTTGTAACATTCCTCATCTTCAGCACATTTTCTCAGTAGTGCCTGAAGAGTCTGGGCTTCACCTCCCTGAAAACAAACAAGTAAATAAAAACAAAACCTAACACAACCTTCAAATCCTACTTCTTTTTTTTTTTTTCTTTTTTTTTGAGACGGAGTTTCGCTCTTGTTGCCCAAGCTGGAGGGCAATGGCACGATCTCTGCTCGCTGCAACCTCCACCTTCCAGATTCAAGTGATTCTCCTGTCTCAGCCTCCTGAGTAGCTGGGATTACAGGCGCCTGCCAGCACTCCTGGCTAATTTTGTATTTTTAGTAGAGACAGGGTTTCTCCATGTTGGTAAGGCTGGTCTCAGACTCCCGACTTCAGGTGATCCGCCCTCCTCAGCCTCCCAAAGTGCTGAGATTACAGGTGTGCGCCACTGCGCCTGGCCGATCTCTAGCTTCTAAGAACTTGCTGTTATTAAGCCAGCAGGGGATACAATCCTATGGCCTTGCCATCTCTGCTCCTTGCTAAGTGGATTTTTTCTTTGCTTTTTTTTTTTATTATTATTTTCTTTACTATTGAGCAGCTATTTCACATGGGTTCTATGTGGCTTAACGTCCTTTTCTTCAGCGTTGGCCCACAGATAGACCGTGTCACCAGACAGCTTCTCAACTAGTTATCTCTAAATGCTGCTCCACTCTGGTGGGATATTAATTCTCATCATGCCTGCTTAGCATACCTTGGGGCCTTCCCAAATCTGTCCACCCATCTGAGCTCTGTGTGGCATAGATCTGGACTGCTGGAAAAGGATGGCTCCTTCGGCAGGCAGACAATTATGTAATATACTGAAATGCAGCTTTGGGGTGGAGGAAGTTCTATAACAGTTGATGCGATCATAGAGGGAACAATAAACTGAGCCATTTAGACTGGATGGTGCATTGTATTGGATCATCTATTCTCTGTTCTCCCACAAGGCCTGCCCCATTAGCTGTGGCCATGAAAGTATGGGGAGTCCTCAGTAGTATTATGGTTTTGCATTTATTGCAGCTTGTCTTTATGAATGGCAGTTTGCTTGCTAAAAATGAAAAAAAAAGCCATTCTAAATGTAAACAAGGTTTACAGTGATCACTTCTGGGGGGTAACCTTATAAGTCTTTTTATATTTCCATATTACCTGCCTTTCAAAATTTCTAAAATGAAAACACATTAACAATCACAAGTAAAAGGAATGGAATTCAAAATAAAACTACCTAAGACCATTCTAAACAAAATTCATAAACTTGATTGGTATTTGAGTAAATTCATCCTTGTCACCTCATTCACCACTTTTCAAACAAATACACCCACAGAGAACACTTGTCTGTTTAACTGGTTTTTAAAGCAGTATCTTACACTATTGTGGGGCTTTTGTTAAGTTACATTGTGTCCTTGTACATGTTTCTTAGCTAACTGCTTATTTTATTGATTTTTATTTTTTTGAGAAGGTGACTCGCCTTCCCAGTCGTGCCCATTAAGGTCAGGCTGGTCAGGGCTGCCAAGGGGCCTCACATAGGCTTTACATTTGTGTCAAGTCAATTGTCTTGAACTTCCTGTTCACCTTACTTATCAACCCCATATTTTTGGAAGCCTTCTTAATCTCCTTCCACATGAAATTTATCACTTAAAATGGGAAAAAGTATTTGTAATACATATAGCATAAAATTAACACATTTTGGGCCAGGCACAATGGCTTATGCCTGTAATCCCAGCACTTTGGGAGGCCAAGGCGGACAGACCACGAGGTCAGGAGATCGAGACCACCCTGGCCAACATGGTGAAATCCCATCTCTAGTAAAAATAGAAAAAGTGGCTGCACGTGGTGGCGGGCGCCTGTAGACCCAGCTACTCGGGAGGCTGATGCAGGAGAATCACTTGAACCTGGGAGGCGGAGGTTACAGTGAGTTGAGATCGCACCACTGCACTCCAGCCTGGGGACAGAGCAAGACTCTGTCCCTCCACCCCCACCCCCAAAAATTAATACATTTCCTATATATATCTCTATACAAACATGTATATGTGTATATGTGCATATAGACAAATACTTTTAAAAGATGTATCACTCACTGCCAAAATTTATGAATAAGCAATTCTCAGAAAAAGTAAAACAAAGGTTAACTAAACTGAAAGGATGTTAACTTCCTTGGTATAGATTTCCATGCCACAAAATCCCTCTGCTTCACCCACAAGTAGGACAGATGAGAAATTTGTTGTAACAATTAGATAATTCATTTCCATGACCTTAGAATAATACCTAACATTTAAAAGTGGCTTGATAAATGATTTGTGTTTTTTAGAAGCCTTTGAAAAGAGCCTTCCAAATAGTATTTAGGGGTCCAGGAATTACAAATAGTATTTAGGGGTCCAGGAATTACAAATAGTATTTAGGGGTCCAGGAACTGGGCCTGACTCCTAAGAAGAGAAGATTAGCAGGGCATAGCCTGGTGGGAGAATATTCCATATTCTGGTTTTCAGGACAAAACTCCTAAGGAAAAAATCACACTCTGAAACCTAAGCAGAAGTCCAGCTTATACAATGATTGATCAAAGTATGAGAACAGTTCCTAGCACTACTTTAGCAAACACTCATTTTCCCTTCAAATCTTTTCATTTCCTTCATCTTTCTCGATGTCCTCCCATTATCAATATATTTTTATTATAATTACCATTAATTGAATACCCTATTCTTTGACTTGTACTGCATTAGACACTTTGCATATTTCAGCTAGTCTTTGCACCAATCTTGCAAGAGATAAAATATCCTAATTTGGGGTAGTTAATGGAATCACAGTCCAGAGTGGTTAATCAGCCTTCTTGAGTTTACCCAGTAAAAAATGTCAGAAAGCCATAATTAAAACATAATTTTTCTGATACCAAAGCAAATTATTTTAGGTTGGGGGAAAATATGGCTCACCCCAGAAACCCAATATTTCTACAATATGGCTGTAGGACTCACTGCAGAACTCATAGGTAGGAACAGACCTTTTATTACAGAGGGCTTATTTCAGGAATGGGTTGAGTCAAAGGCAGTCCCTGGGGCAGGGATACAGAGTGATGGGACCTCTTCGGGCTCAGTTGGGATCTCGGCCCTTCACAAGCTGCAGACTTTCTCAGCTTCTGCAGGGAGGTGGGATTTTATTACGTTCTCTTCCAGAGACTTTCCAAATCTTTGTATTCTTTCTTGGCCATATGTAAACCGATTCTTCAAATCTGTAAGTGAGCTGGGTAAATATGGACAGAGTAGCAAGTAGAAAGTAAAGAAAAGGGGGCAAATGTCAATCCCTTACATATGAAAAATAAATTTTAAAAAATCTTTTAAGACGATCTAAAATGTTGCTGTATTAGCAGCTCTCAAAACTGTGTAGTAACGTTAACCTATGCATGCAGAATTTATAGTGTATTTCTTATGGTGCCTTCCTGCTGTACAACGGCAGGCGGAAAGAGGAGAGAGCATCTCACTTGTAAGCTTGCAGAAGGAATTATTTTTAACTTAAAAAAGTATGTTATTGATAAAATTCTAAGTTTTCTTTCATTTTATGCACTCCCCCCACGCACCCTCTGCTGTAGCCACAGACTATTTCTTCCTGTTCCCCAAACACTCCGACTCTTTCATATGCCATGATTTTGCATATGGTTTTTTTTTCTAATGGGGATACCCTTAAAATTAGTTCTGACTGCTCCAAAATTAAGAAGCAGATGACATGTCACTTTCTCTGTAAGGCCTTCTCAAATGGCTTCAGGGAAATGGACATCCTATTTCACTCTGTTTCTACCTTGCCTACAGCACACATCTGTTCATTTTTATACCAGACATATTTCAATAAAATTGTGCCTGTTAATTTGAGTTTCCTGAGTCTAAGAACTGTATCTCCTACAGTACCTCTTTTATCAGGTTGACATTTTACTGCAAACTCAGTATATTTAAGTGCACACGTGCATGCACACACACACACAAATACACAATGTTGAATGCATTTCAACTCCTTTACTGGATCCCCGTTGCTTTCTGTTTAGGAGAGTATCACATTTTATGAGGTTTTTATTGCATGGTAAGTTTCTCTACAAAAATTGGGAGGACTCCAAAGTAATGACAAAAAAAAAAAATAAGTGATTTCCATATGTTTTCCATCTCACAAAGAGCAGACTCTTGCCATCTATGAAGTGTAATCATTCCATCCTGACACCAAACATTTTTTTTATTACTCACAGCCTACAGTTTCAATCCTACCTCTGGTCTTACTGGCTATAATAGCCTGGCTAATTCACTTCCCTTGTCTGACATCTAATATCTTCATTTATAAATTGAGAATGATTGTACTTATATCACAGGCGTTAATTGAGGATTGATGGGTGCTTGATACATGGCAGTAGCTAGATGTATTGTAGCTCAGACCTTTGCCTCACATAAAAACCTTGGTTTCATCAATGGGTCTTGGAATTGGACATCAGCTGATGAATCCACTCATTAGTGTACCTGGAGAAGAGCAACATTCTCTGCTGCCAATCAAACAACACAGTGGTATAGTCAAAAGAACACTGGATTAGAAGTCAAAAGGTGACTCATTTGATGTGAGGTTGTAACCAGAAAACATGAGTAGAAGGGTCTTGCACAGAGTTTTGCACATATGAGCTTTTAGGCTTAGCTTTGAGGTCAGACCTCAAAAGTTGTATTTGTGATCTTGAGCAAATGATCTCTTTTTAATGGATGTATTTTCCCAGTTGTTAAATGAGGATTACAATATGAAATGTACAGAAATTTTGTGGTCATTAATTAAGATTACAATAGTATTGTTTACTGAATGTTTTCCAGATGTCAGGCACAGGCTTAAACACTATGCACAAATCCTTTCTTTTAATATTGCAAAAATTGTATGAGGTAGATGCTATTTACAAATGTGGAAAGTAAAGCTAGTGGGATATAAGGAAAATGTCCAAAGAAACACAATTTTTTTCTTTTTAAAACTCATACTTGCAGCTGGTTAACTGTATTGCTTCCTTTTAAATGTAGTTTGTTAAAGAAATATTGACTCTGAGCTTATTAAGTACGAGATATGAAAGTGAACAGGGACAAAGCATCTCTGCTTTCTAATACAGAAACTTATGTGTGTGTGCGAGTGTGTGTATATATAATTTTACATAATGATAACACATTATTTTAAAAGACATAGAACAGAATGATGTGATGACCTAATAAGAGAGGAATAGCCATTTTAGATATTATGATTAAGGAAGACCTTCCTGAAAAGGTAACATTTACTGAGACCTAAAGAATGAGGACTCTGTATGTTAAAGGCACTCAAAGGCATCTGGGGCATAATTCAGCAAATATATGCTGAGTGTAAGCAGAAATCAATCATGAATCAATCAGTTAGGCTGCCAATCAGTCAGTCTACCATTAAACTAGGTCTTTTCACTAACTGGCTGTGAGACCTATGCAGTGATCCTTAACCCTCACTGCATCGGAGAAGTTATAAAAATCACAGATTTCCCCAGGGATTCTGGTTTTACCAGTCTAGAGTGAGGCCTCAGTCTCTTACGTTTCAAACACTCTTCAGGTGATTCTAATAAATAGCCATGGTGAAGAATCACATACAGAAAGATATTATGTATCTCCTTGAGCCTCATTTTCTTCATTTGAAAAATGAGAAGAACATGAATCATCTTTAGTATGTACTAGACACTTGTTACTCCAAATGTGGTCTTCCAACCAGCAGCATCAGCCTCATTTATGGGAAATTCAGATTTGAGAGTCCCACCCCAGACCTACTGAATTAGAATCTGGATTTTGACAAGATTCCCAAGTGATTTTTAAGCACATGCAAATTTGAGGCTTGCTGGACTAGAGAGTGCCATGAATTAAAGCTGCTAGATAACCAATGAGAGGAAAAGAGTCATAAACTATCATTCTTCAGCCAAGGACAAGCATGGAACACTTCCTTATTGTCAACAGGGAATTCTTCCATGTTAAAGCAAGAATAGTTTCAATGAGATATTCTGAGAATCAAATAAGCCCCTTCTTGTTTTCAGAATTCATTCTAAAATGTCTTTAAGAAAAGCTTGGTATAGATTTTTTTTTCAAGATACTGCATTGAACTTTAACCAAAACGTTTCCAACTTAAAAAAATAAATTATGAGTAAGGTCATAAATCTCATTAAAATCTAATATTCAGTAAAGCTGCCTAGTGTGTATACTATGGAAAATTGGATTTTACTGTAACTGGAGCCTTATGTATAATATTGCAAGTTAATTACAGAAGTTAGTTTTTTTCACATGTAATAATAGTTTATACAGACTCAGTCTCTGTGCTACCATCAGGACGTAAGTGCTCTTAAGAGACTAAATTTAATAACGGTTCACCTATTCAGGTTCACAAGACTAAACATTTCCTGAGTAAATAGTAATTTACATCTTTTTGGTACAGATAAAATTAACAGATTAATAAAGTCTTAACACACACACACACACACACACACACACACACACACACACACAGTTATTCCAATATATGTTAAACTTGTCTTGGTTTTAAAATTCTCTCTTATCAAGGTTAGTTGTTGATTTAAAGGGTTGGAAAAATTGCTGTTATTTAGGGAACCAGGTGGTCTCACAGGGTGTTTGTACACCCTGACTTGCCAATGGTTAGTCAATTCTTATTATTTGATTTCATGATGTAATCACAATAATTTTATCATTTATGCAGAGTACAATCAAAATGCAAGGGGCCAGGTAGCAAGTATTAACTGACTGTGCTTCTTTTGTCTGTTTCTGAATGGAACTGAGCAGTGTTTTTCTCTTATAAAACAGCACCTGTAATATGATAAACACAGAGAACCACACACAAACACACATTCACAACACAACACATATGTACACACCCACACACATGCATTCTTTCCTCAGTAGAAAAAGGAGTCACCAAAGCGACAGAGTGCTGTGTCTGTGTTTTGTTTCCTTAGCCAAATAAGTTTTTTGTTCCTGTTAAATCAATATACTAAAGGATAATTTAATGAAAAGAAGACACAAATTACATTTCCTTGTTTTTCTGAAATAAATTAATTCACAGGGTGCTTTATCTTGTTTAGAAGTTGTCTTACCCCAGGAGATATCACTGAATAATCTTTAATGTAGAAAAATAAACTCAGCACAGTGCAGATATACATTTAAATAGCATTGATAAATCAAATTTAAACATCAATACTTGTTAGCATTCCTTTAAATGTGCTCTCCTTCCAGCTAATGAAAACCAAGGAGAGATTCCAAAAGCCCAGTTGTTATTGATTACGAAGTGTTGTAATTTTCCTCCTGAGAGTGCACTTTGGCCAGAACTTTCACATGCATATTTTCCAACTAAAGAAAGTAATAATTAGAAATTAATGACATCAATTCTATTGAAATGCAATTATTACAGTCTCTCTGAGGGTGGAAAAAAATCTCAGCTTTAGCAAAGTTTCCATCAACATCTTGATTTCACAAAGCCATTTGTATTCATGCTGAAAATGGACACTGAGCTATTGGAATGGTGCACTTGGCTTTTCTAGTTCACCTGTAGCTTTGCTTATTGGTGGTAGAAATATTAATGGCTTCTTTCTGAAGTCATAACGAGAGATTAGGCAGTTGTTGGTGTATATAATAAAGAGCCCAATTTAATGTCATATCCTTAGGCAACTGTGCAAAGAAGAGCCAATAATGTGTGTGTGTGTGTGTGTGTATGTGTGTGTGTGCGTGTTTAAGATAGGAGGCAGCCAGCTTTGGGACAGAGTACAAGCATCAGAGTATCAGGTGCAAGCATCAGGTGTTTTGTTAGAGTCTGGGCTCCATGCATTCTGGCTGTGTCCACTATGCACTTCCCTTTTACAGGAAATGGTAAGCAGTTCTGCAGTGTTTCTAGATCTTTCATATATGCATTCTAAATGGACATTATGAAAAGTCAACACCACTATTTTCAAATCCAAAATTTCATCTGCCATGCTCTTCAGGTACAATTCAAGTTCCTTCCAGCATTTTCAATCTACAAAGAAATTCACTTTATTTAGCCTCAAATCCAATTTTTAAGGATCCTCTAAAGTCGAGATGAATATGCTAATTTAGCTTTATCATCATAACCACATAAGTGCTTATAAATATCTGCAGGATCCACGTGTAAGTATACATATTTTAACATTATCGAAAGCCTTATGAAATTGTCAAGTTCTTAGAATTGATTATAGTTTCCAAAGAACTCCAAATTATCCACAGAAAATACATACTAACAATACATTAAAATCCAACATTCTCCAAACTGTGTTTATTATGTTATTAGTAGCAGTTTCTCCATTTAATGTGTGAGGCTACTAATTCTATGAAAATGACACTATATATTATTATAGTATTGTAGATGGCAAATGTTTTGTATGATAGCATTTTTCTGAGTGTCGGAAATTTTTTACACCCATTTTAGAATAATTTAGCTTTTTGGATGCATCCATTATTCAAAGTTTATGTTTTAACAATTTTCCCCATTGAAATAATCAATGTCTTTGAAAATTAAAAGACATTTTAAAATCATCCCAGAGGAACTATTTTGCTTTTAAGCAAACCTTATGAAAATTGAGCTAAGAAAACCCAACTCATGCATTTCACTTACATTTTAAAGCATTCTGACTTTCATAACATATGTTTACACTTTAAAATACCATAGCATATCAACTAGAAAACATGCTTATAAAAATGTCCATTTAAAGGAACATTCTTACAATGTACATTGGCTTGTAAATCCCAAGACGCTGACAACATGATATGCCAGATGTAGACAGAGAAACTGATGAAAATGCAGTAATTCTGAATTTTAATATAATATAAACCATGTCAGCAACATTTTTGAAGAGCAGCTGCCGAGATTTCAATCCAACTGAATGGATAATATTATTTTTATACTCTGTTCTCTTCTAGCAAATTAGACTTTTCCTCCTTTTTCCTAATGATAAGCTTTGCCTTATCAACAACAACAAAACTTCTGACTGAATGTCATGCAATGAATTATCACTCTGTTTAAGATGAAAGACTAATTATAGTGACGAAAAATATATAGACCACAACACTGCCAAAGAGAGAAACTGCAACAAAATATTATTTATTTGAAATTTGATACATTCCATTGCAGAGATAAGTAACATTAAAAGAAAATCTATTTATTGTTCAAATTCAAATTGCAATACATGGCATGTTGATAACTAACCCAATTTCTTATAAACCCAAGTGAAAAATAAATTGACGGTATATTTTGCGTTGAGTCAGATTTCCCTCGTGTTAAGACAGTCTCCTGGGAATGTCTAAAAAATGTAAAATAAATGGACGATGGCACCACAGTTCTGGCTGAAATGATTTTCTCAAGATACCAGGACACCCTGTGGCTCAGGGATTCTACAAGCTGATCTGAACTTAGGACTTTCAGCAGTTCTCCACCTCATTCCCCACAAGCAGAGCTGACAAGCCCTGCTGTGTGGTGATTATTTATAATGATTATGTTCATCCTTATGCCCCCATTCTACCTTCTACGCTGCTGCTAGTATGATCTTCCTAAAACACAGGAAGAGGCAACATACCTGTATAAAGTTATTCAATAACTTTCATAGACTTTGGAATAAAATAAGAATCACACAGCTCTTCATAGTCTGGCCTCTACCTGCCTTTCATTTCATTTTTTGCTACACTTCTATGAATTTCCCACAAACTTTACTCTTACCATAAGGATTAGTTTTAAATTCCTGAAATTCACTTTTTTTCACTTGCTTCTCTATATCCTTGCACACACCTCTCTCCAAAAACAAAACAAAGCAAAAAAAATTCTTCTTTTGGTTGCTTGGGCACCCTCTCCTCTAGCAAGCCTGCCTGGGATCCCAGGCTTGGTCAATTTGACTTTCATGTACAATCCCACAGCCTCCTTAATTATGGCGCCTCCACACTGTGTTGTTCCTATTGGTTACTATAATCAGTAATTGGTTATACTATAGGATAATAACTGATGATTATACTATAATTGGTTTTACTATGTGGAAGATCTATGGTTTAAAACAGAGGTCAGCGTTTCAAACTGTCTGTACTGCATGCCAGAACTGTAGCTTTGGGTAACTTACTTAAACTCTCTAAGCCATAGTTTCCTTATTAGCAACAAAGATAAAAAAAAAAAAAAAAAAAAGAGGTTAAAACTAACTTTCTGTGGTTGGTAGAGTTATTGGGAGCAAAGATTGAGATAATTCCTGTAAAGCCTCACGCCAATGGGAAGACTGTGCAATCCACAATTTTGGTTCAGAATATGGCCTTTTTAAATAAAATCTTCAATTCCATCTAAGAATAATTTTGTACATCTTAAACATCAGATCAATTCAAGAGAATATTTTTCTAGAAATTGGCATGAATTGAAAATACAAAGAATAATTATATGTAGTGGGCATACAGACATAATTACCCACAGTCAAACACACAAACAAAAACACAATACCAGCATGAAGTTTAAGTAATGACTAATATATGAGCCAAGTGACTTCAGGCAAATTATTTTACTTTATGAACTTCAGTGTTATCATCTGTAAATGAATGGTCAATCTACTGATAATTTAGCTCTGTTTCAACTCTGTTATGAGACCAGAAACATGAATTCAATAATATTTCTCTATAGACTTTCCAACTACTGAGCTTAAAAACTGCAAATTTCTTCCTATTTAATTTGTAAAGGGGAAAAATATTGTGAAGGGGAAAAAATCTTCAGCTTTTGCCATGGGAAAATTTATGTGACAAAAATAAAGCATTCTTTCTATCCTTAAGAAGAGTGCATTTGAGCAGAGCAACAAAAATGTGTTAAGTGGAATCATGAGAACAGCAACATGTTGGATCTATAAGTGGGCAGTTTGCAGAATCCATGGAATTGTGTCTCTCAACAGCTTTCATCTTGGCTGTTTTGCTCTTCAGAAAACTGGTTTTCAATGTAATTCAAGCCAACTTAGAATAACAGATTGGGTGTTTTGAAGGACATTTATTGTGCCTGTAGCACCAAGCAGGAAGGCCAATTTTGAAGAGCCTTGTATTATGCTCCAGATCCAAATGCCCTTAAAGAGACTCAGACTCTCTTCTGTGTACCCAACATTCCGCCTTAAGAGACAGATCGTTCAAAATAGCATTTTAAGATGCAGTACGAGCTTCTACTGATAGGTGTTTTTCCTGTGGAGCCCATGCTCTCTAATTTCACTCTCTGATGTTCAGTCACACATCAATCACTTGCAATGAACAACTTAAACAGGGCTGGCTTTGAGTCTCCTTCAATCTGAGGAGTTGCCTCTATATCAAGCTCAAATCAAGCCTTTCAATGAGTGAATTAGGTGGTTAAAGGTTTTGAATTGAGATACTTTCACTTAGTTGACAAGAAAAGAAAAGGATCATATTTTATCTTTTTCTCTTTGGAAAACAGATAACACACATTACCTACAAAGAAAATAACATACATATGTAATTTGATTACACTATGACTTTTTAATATAAAGTTTTTATAATGGATTCTGTAAGAAAATACAGAGATGAGAAATTAATGTGAACTGACATTTCCATATATTCAAATGGGGACTTAAAGCAAGTAGAATTGCTTCAGTAAAGATGCCATGAGATGGCACTTGCCTACCTTTTCATCCTCATCTCCTGCCCTGACTTGCACTCTGTGCTGTTGTCATTAGAAAACTTTTAGAGTTCTCTGAAGTTGCCATATTTTTAATACCATGAAGCCTTTGTAAATGTCTCTTCCTCTAATGGAATACATGCTCTTAGTCATATATTAGACATACTCCTACACAAACTCCAAAACCAGTTTAGATATCTTTTTAGTTGATACAGAGGTATGCCTCCCACTAAACTTAAGAGTCATATTTTATTCATTTCTATGATTCTAATGCCCAATATATTGCCAGGGATAAGGTATGTATACACGTAATTTAAAAATGAATGAATGAATGAATGGATGAATGGCATTGCTTAAAGGAAAGAAGGCAAGGACATTCAATAAAGGTGTGATAGTGGTAGGAAGTGGCTTAGGAGTAGGTTGATTTTATGTTCAGAAATATGTGGAGACATGGTTGAAAGAATTAGTGTGCAAAGTTAAAACACAGTGGATGATACATTTGCATGGGTCTTTGAAGTAATGAAGTTGCATCCAGGATTAATGTATCAGGTTCTAGATAGTCAAAGATCATGAGCAGATAAAAGAAATAGTAAAAAACCAAAATTTCTGAATAATTCATTTTTTTCTTTAATAAAGCCTTTGCCCCTACAAAGTAAATCAGACTTGTTTAATGAAATCTGAAATGGGACAATAAGAAAATGGTAGGGTTGCTATCACATGACACCTCAGTTCTATTGCATACAGATGGTGACTCCTGCTTTGAAGTGGTAATTTATAAAATGCTGACCTTGAGACCTGGGCAAGTGAATGTCATTTGCAGGGCAGGGAGGCTGCACTCTGAAACTCTGCCTCATTATGGCAAATAACAGAGCAAAGAAGGAAAAAGAGACATTCGACTAGTAGAGGTCAAAGTTCACAAGCAAATTGCCTCCATGTGTTTGTCACTACACATTTGCATTTTATATATCATTTTATTTTCCACCGTGCTTTAATAATCATTTTAGCTATTTACCTTTACACATGCAAAATTCTCAATTTGCATCTGCAAATATCTACTCCTAGATACATCTGCCCACCTGCAGCATAATTAACTAACTGAAATTCTTTGACATTCTAAGATGTAAACAGTTTTCTAGCCCTGATATTGGTAAGTCTGCAAATATTAAAAGTTGATGCATGATTCTTTCTTTCTTTACTTTCTTTAAGATACAGCATTAGTTCTGCCACTTGCATATTCCAGAACAATCTCTTCTTGTTGTGCAAATCTAGAAATATTTTGGAAGTGCATTGGGTGCTCTGATGCTTAGCCCAATCTTCCCCTCATCAGGAGAGCACGCATTCTATCAGCTGATGACAGTGTTGCTGACTGAAGTCTTGTAGTTCGGTCTCCTCTGAAGACTCCTCCCAGCTGAGGAAAGAAGAATCACCCAAGTTCATGACATCTTCTCAAAGTCATGCTTCTTTCCTGGGATCATCCTGCATCCTTGATGCAGTGGATAAAGGCTTTGCTCCCTTTGCCCCAATTCAGGATAATTCTACAAGGCCACCCCAGCTCCAGAGCTTCCCATAGGATACATTGAAGCCTTTTGTAACTTGGCATTGCCATTCAAATTCTTGCTTTGCCCAATCCTCGTTACCTTACTCTCACATTTGTAGGGAAATGAGAAAGCACTCCCTAAAATGTTCTGTATACTAATCTCTGTCTCAGAGTTTGTGTCCAAGTAGACTTGAACTCCTACAAAAACTAAGTAGAAATATGGTAAGTTAACCTAAGGATCTTTTAATTTTAAAAATCTTGAAGGCAATTTTAATATCATTTGAAATTGTAAGGGAAGATGGTCCAATAGAAGCCTCCAGCAATTGTCTCCCTATAGGAACATTAAATTGAACAACTATCCACACAAAAAAGCACTTAAATAAGAACCAAAAAATTAGATGAATAAAGCACCAAGTTTTAACACTATATTAAGAAAAGAGGCACTGCAGAGGTAGGAAAGACAGTCTTGAATTGCCTATACCACCACCCACCCTTATCCCCCAGCAGCAGCCATGTGGCACAGAGAGAGAATCTGTGCACTTCTGTGAGGGAGAGTGCAGTGACTGTGGGACTTTGCCAGGGAACTCAGCGCTTCCCTGTCACAGTGAAAAGTAACAAGGGGCAGAACTCAGCTGGCATTCACAGAGGGAGCATTTAGACCATCCCTAGCCAGAGGCAAATCACTAACCCCAGTGGTCAGAACCTGAGTTTCAGCAAGCCCCACCATCACAGGCTAATGTGCTCTGAGGTCCTAAATAAACTTGAAAGCCAGTATAGGACACAAGGACTAAAATTTCTGGGAAAGTCCTGGTGCTGTCTGGGCTTGGTGCCAGTGGACTTGGGGTACATACAACCTAGAGAGACACTAGCCAGGGCAGGCAAGGGAGTGCTTATGCTACCCTTCCCTCAACCACAGGTAGCACAGTTTGCAGCTCAGGGAAACATCATTCCCTCTGCTTAAGGAGAGAAGAGGGGAGAGTAAAGAGGGCTTTGTCTTACATCTTAGTTACCAGCACAGCCACACTAGAATGGGAAACCAGGCAGAGTACAGAGGCCCTCATTCCAGGCCCTAGATCCTGAATGACATTTCTAGACACATCCTGGGCCAGAAGGGCAGCTACTGCCTTGAAGGAGAGGACCCAGTCCTGGAAGGATTCATCACCTGCTGACTAAAGAGTGCTTGGGGCTTGAATAATCAGCGATGGTAGCCAGGCAATACTCACCATGGGCCTCAGGTGAGACTCAGAAATGTACTGGCTTCAAGTGAGACCCAGTATATTCCCAGGTGTGGTAGCTAAGGGGAGAGAATCCTGAGGAAAAGAGAGAGAAGAGTAACGTGGACTTTGTCTTGCAGCTTGGGTATCATTTCGTCCACAGTATACAGGGCACCAAGTGAGCTCCTGGGGTCCCCAGTTCCAGACCTAAGCTCCTGGGTGGCATAAATGGACCTGCTCTGGGACAGAGGGAAGCCCATTACCCTGAAAGGACAGACTGAGAAATGATGGCACTAACCACAAGCTGAATGAAGAGTGCTTGGGCCTTGAGCCTTGAGTGAACATCGGCAGTAGCCAGGCAGTACATACCACAGGCCTGGGGCAGTGGTAGTGACAGGGAGAAATCCCTATGTTTGAGAAAAGAGGAGAGAAGAGTGGCAAGAATTTTGCCTTGGAGCTTGGGTGTGAGCTCAGCAGCAGTAAAATAAAGAACCAGGTTGATTTCTAAGGTTTCTGACTCTAGGCCCTGGCTCCCAAATGGCATCACTGGACCCACTTGGGGCCAAAGGAAATCACTACCCTGAAAGGAAAAACACAAGCCTTCCTGGACTTGGTACTGCTGATTTTAGATCCCCTGGGCCTCAAGTTAACATAGATGTTATCCAGGCAGTGGTCACAGCAGGCCTTATACGAGAGCCAGTGCTGTGCTGGCTTCAGATCTGACCTGGTGCAGACCCAGTGGTGGTTTTAGGGATGCTTGTGTCACCCCCAGCTTCATGCACCTCAGGACACAGAGAGAGATTCCATTTCTTTGGGGGAAATTAAGGGAAGAAAACAAGAATCTCTGCCTGATGTTCCAAGGGATTCTTCAGAATCTTACCCAAGACCACCAAGGTGGTACCTCTACCAGTCTGCAAGAGCCACAGCATTATTGGGGTTGGGTTGCCCACTAAAGCAGTTATGGCTGCAGTGACTAAGGACTTAGATCACAAAACCCAAGTACCTTTGAATAACTGGAAAGCCTTCCCAAGAGTGTAAACAATCTTAGACTGTGAAGACTACAATAAATACCTAACACTTCAATGCCAAGACACTGATGAACACCCACAAGCATCACAACAATTCAGGAAAACATGACATCACCAAACAAACTAAATAAGGCACCAGTGACCAATTCTGGGTAGACAGGAATATGAGACCTTTCAGAGAGAATTCAAAATATCTGTTTTGAGGAAGTCAATGAAATTCAAGACAACACAGAAAAAGAATTCAGAATATTATCAAACAAATCTAACAAAGAGGTTAAAATCATTAAAAAGAATCAAGCAGAAATTCTGGAGCTGAAAAATGCAGTTGACATACTGAAGAATGCATCAGAGTCTTAATAGCAGAATTGATCCAGCAGAAGAAAGAATCAGTGAGCTTGAAGACAGGCTATTTGAAAATACAGTCAGAGGAGACAAAAGAAAAAAGAATTAAAAAGCATGAAACATGCCTAAATAATCTAGAAAATAGCCCCCAAAGGCTAACTGTAGGAGTTATTGATATTAAAGAGGAGTAGAGACAGAGATCAGGGTAGAAAGTTTATTCAATGAGATAATAACAGAAAACTTACAAACCTAGAGAAAGATATAAATATTCAAGTACGAGAAGGTTATAGCATGCCAAGCAGATTTAATCAAAACACGACTACCTTAAAACATTTAACAGTCAAACCTCCAGCGGTCAAAGATAAAGAAAAGATCTTAACAGCAGCAAAAGGAATAAATAACATAGAAAGGAGTTCCAATATATCTGGCAGCAGACTTCTCTGTGGAAATCTTAAAGGCCAAGAGAGAGTGGCATGATATATTTAAAGTGCTAAAGAAACAAAACTCTTATCCTAGAATAGTATATCCAGTGAAAATATCTTTCAAATCTAAAGAAGAAATAGATATTATAAGACAAACAAAACCTGAGGGTTTTTATGAACACAAGACCTGTCATATAATAAATGCTAAAGGGAGTTTTTTAATCTGAGAAAAAAGGATGATAATGAGCAATAAAAAATTATCTGATGTTACAAAACTTGCTGGCAGTAGTAAGTGCACAGAAAAATAGAATATTATAACACTGTAACTGCAGTTTGTAAACTACTCACACTTTGAGTAGAAAGAATAAAAATGAACCTATCAAAAATAGCTATTAACACAATAACTTTTCAAGACGTGGATAGTATAATCATCAGTTTAAAATAGCAGTTTATAAGATATTATTGGCAAGCATCATGGTAACTTCAAATCAAAAATCATACAAAAAATACACAAAAAAAAGAAAGCAAGAAATTAAAATATGCTACCTGAGAAAATCGGCTTCACTAAAAGGCAGGCAAGAAGGAGGGAGAAAAAAAAGAGAAGACCAAAAAGTAACCAGAAAATAGAAAACAAAATGACAGGAATAAGTCCTTGCTTATCAATAATAACATTGAATTTACATACACTAAATGCCCCAATTGAAAGACACAGAGTGGCTGAATGACTCAACAATCTGTTACCTACAAGAAATACACTTCATGTATGAAGACACAGATAGACTAAAAATAAAAGGATGTAAAAAATATTCTATGCAAATGGAAGCCGAATAAACAGGAGTAGTTATATCAGACAAATTAGATTTCAAGATAAAAACTATAAAAAGTTACAAAGAATATTATTAGATAATGACAAAGTGGTCAATTCAGCAAGAGAATATAAAAAATTGTAAATATGTATGTACCCAACACTGGAGCACCCAGACACATAAAGCAAATATTATTAGGCTAAAGGGATAGATAGATTCCAATACAATAATAGAGGGAGACTTCAACACCCCACTTTCAGCATTGCATATATCATCCATATGAAAAATCAACAAAGAAACATCAGATTTAGTCTGCACTATAGACCAAATGGGCCTAATAAATATTTGCAGAACATTTCATCCAACAGCTACACAATATGCATTCTTTTTCTCAGCAAATGAATTTTTCTTAAGGATAGACCAATGAAAACTATAAATCATTGTTGAAAGAAATTGAAGGGAACACATAAAAATGTAAAGACATTTTATGTTCATGGATTGAAAGAAACAATATTGTTAAAATATCCATGCCACCCAAAGCAATCTATAGATTAAATGCAATCTCTATCAAAATATTATTGGCATTCTTCGTAGAAACAGAAAAATAATTTGAAAATTTTTATGGAACCATGAAAGACCCAGAATAGCCAAAGCCATCCTGAGCAGAAAGAACAGAACTAAAGAAATCAAATTACCTGACATCAAATTATACCACAGAGCTTTCTACATATGGCTAGCCAGTTTTCCCAGCACCATTTATTAAATAGGGAATCCTTTCCCCATTTCTTGTTTTTGTCAGGTTTGTCAAAGATCAGATGGTTGTAGATGTGTGGTATTATTTCTGAGGGCTCTGTTCTGTTCCATTGGTCTATATCTCTGTTTTGGAACCAGTACCATGCTGTTTTGGTTACTGTAGCCTTGCAGTATAGTTTGAAGTCAGGTAGCGTGATGCCTCCAGCTTTGTTCTTTTGGCTTAGGATTGACTTGGCAATGCGGGCTCTTCTTTGGTTCCATATGAACTTTAAAGTAATTTTTTCCAATTCTGTGAAGAAAGTCATTGGTAGCTTGATGGGGATGGCATTGAATCTATAAATTACCTGGGGCAGTATGGCCATTTTCACGATATTGATTCTTCCTATCCATGAGCATGGAATATTCTTCCATTTGTGTCCTCTTTTATTTCGTTGAGCAGTGGTTTGTAGTTCTCCTTGAAGAGGTCCTTCACATCCCTTGTAAGTTGGATTCCTAGGTATTTTATTCTCTTTGAAGCAATTGTGAATGGGAGTTCACTCATGATTTGGCTCTCTGTTTGTCTGTTATTGGTGTATAAGAATGCGTGTGATTTTTGCACATTGATTTTGTATCCTGAGACTTTGCTGAAGTTGCTTATCAGCTTGAGGAGATTTTGGGCTGAGATGATGGGGTTTTCTAAATATACAATCATGTCATCTGCAAACAAGGACAATTTGACTTCCTCTTTTCCTAATTGAATACCCTTTATTTCTTTCTCCTGCCTGATTGCCCTGGCCAGAACTTCCAACACTATGTTGAATAGGAGTGGTGAGAGAGGGCATCCCTGCCTCATGCCAGTTTTCAAAGGGAATGCTTCCAGTTTTTGCCCATTCAGTATGATATTGGCTGTGGGTTTGAAATAGCTCTTATTATTTTGAGATAAGTCCCATCAACACCTAATTTATTGAGAGTTTTTAGCATGAAGGGCTGTTGAATTTTGTCAAAGGCCTTTTCTACATTTATTGAAATAATCGTGGCTCTTGTCTTTGGTTCAGTTTATATGCTGGATTACATTTATTGATTTGCATTTGTTGAACCAGCCTTCCATCCCAGGGATGAAGCCCACTTGATCATGGTGGATAAGCTTTTTGATGTGCTGCTGGATTTGGTTTGCCAGTATTTTACTGAGGATTTTTGCATTGTTGTTCATCAGGGATATTGGTCTAAAATTCTCTTTTTGTTGTGTCTCTGCCAGGCTTTGGTATCAGGATGATGCTGGCCTCATAAAATGAGTTAGGGAGGATTCCCTCTTTTTCTATTGATTGGAATAGTTTCAGAAGGAATTGTACCAGCTCCCCCTTGTACCTCTGGTAGAATTCGGCTGTGAATCCATCTGGTCCTGGACTTTTTTTGGTTGGCAGGCTATTAATTATTGCCTCAATTTCAGAGCCTGTTATTGGTCTATTCAGGGATTCAACTTCTTCCTGGTTTAGTCTTGGGAGGGTGTATGTGCCGAGGAATTTATCCATTTCTTCTAGATTTTCTAGTTTATTTGTGTAGAGGTGTTTATTTTATTCTCTGATGGTAGTTTGTATTTCTGTGGGATTGGTGGTGATATCCCCTTTATCATTTTTTTATTGTGTCTATTTGATTCTTCTCTCTTTTCTTCTTTATTAGTCTTGCTAGCGGCCTATCAATTTTGTCGATCTTTAAAAAAAAAAAAACAACTCCTGGATTCATTGATTTTTTGAAGGGTTTTTTGTGTCTCTATTTCCATCAGTTCTGCTCTGATCTTAGTTATTTCTTGCCTTCTGCTAGCTTTTGAGTGTGTTTGCTCTTGCTTCTCTAGTTCTTTTAATTGTGATGTTAGGGTGTCAATTTTAGATCTTTCCTGCTTTCTCTTGTGGGCATTTAGTGCTATAAATTTCCCTCTACACACTGCCTTCCTTACACTTTATACAAAAATTAATTCAAGGTGGATTAAAGACTTAAATGTTAGACCTAAAACCATAAAAACCATAGAAGAAAACCTAGGCAATACCATTCAGGACATAGGCATGGGTAAGGACTTCATGTCTAAAACACCAAAAGCAATGGCAACAAAAGCCAAAATTGACAAATGGGATCTAATTAAACTAAAGACCTTCTGCACAGCAAAAGAAACTACTATCAGAGTGAACAGGCAACCTACAGAATGGGAGAAAATTTTTGCAATCTACTCATCTGACAAAGGGCTAATATCCAGAATCTACAATGAACTCAAACAAACTTACAAAAAAAAAAAAAACCCCATCAAAAAGTGGGCAAAGGATATGAACAGACACTTCTCAAAAGAAGACATTTATGCAGCCAACAGACACATGAAAAAATGCTCATCATCACCGGCTATCAGAGAAATGCAAATCAAAACCACAATGAGATACCATCTCACACCAGTTAGAATGGCGATCATTAAAAAGTAAGGAAACAACAGGTGCTGGAGAGGATGTGGAGAAATAGGAACACTTGTACACTGTTGGTGGGGCTGTAAACTAGTTCAACCATTGTGGAAGACAGTGTGGCGATTCCTCAAGGATCTACAACTAGAAATACCATTTGACCCAGCCATCCCATTACTGGGTATATATACCCAAAGGATTATAAATCATGCTGCTATAAAGACACATGCACACGTATGTTTATTGCGGCACTATTCACAATAGCAAAGACTTGGAACCAACCCAAATGTCCATCAATGATAGACTGGATTAAGAAAATGTGGCACATATACACCGTGGAATATTATGCAGCCATAAAAGATGATGAGTTCATGTCCTTTGTAGGGACATGGATGAAGCTGGAAACCATCATTCTCAGCAAACTATCGCAAGGACGAAACACCAAACACCGCATATTCTCGCTCATAGGTGGGAATTGAACAATGAGAACACTTGGACACAGGAAGTGGAACATCACACACCGGGGCCTGTCGTGGGGTTGGGAGAGGGGGTAAGGATAGCATTAGGAGATATACCTAATGTAAATGAGGAGTTAATGGGTGCAGCACACCAACATGGCACATATATACATATTTAACAAACCTGCACGTTGTGCACATGTACCCTAGAACTTAAAGTATAATAATACAAAAAATTATACCACAGAGCTACAGTAACCAAAACAGCATGGTACTGGCATAAAAACAGACACATAGACAAATGAAACAGAATAGAGAACCTATAAATAAATCCATACATCTACAGTAAACTTATTTTTAACAAAGTTGCGAAGAACACATATTACGGAAAAGGTAGCCTCTTCAATAAATGGTGATGGCAAAACTGGATATCCATATACAGAAGAATGAAACTAGATTCCTATCTCTCTTCATATGCAACATTTAAATAAAAATGTATTAAATACTTAAATTTAAGTCTTCAAACTATGAAACTACTTAAAGAAAACATTGAGGAAACTCTACAGGACATAGAACTGGGCAAAGATCTCTTGAGTACTACCCCACAAATACAGGCAATCAAAGCAAAAACTGGCAAATGAGATCACATCAAATTTGAAAGCTTCTAAATAGCAAAGAAAACAATCAACAAAGTGAAGGCACAACCCACAGAATGTAAAAAAAATTTTCAAACTATTAATCTGACAAGGGATTAATAAACAATACAGGATTTCAAACAACTCAATAGGAAAAAAATCTAATAATCTGATTAAAAATGGGCAAAATATCTGAATAGACATTTCTCAAAAGAAGATGTATCAATTGGAAAGAAATATATGAAAAGTGTTCAATATCACTGATAATCAGAAAAGTGTAAATCAAAAGGAAGGAGAAGAGGAAGGGAAGTGAAGGGAAGGGGAGAAGAAGGGAGGGGAGGGGATGGCAGGGGAAGGAAGGGAAAGGAGAGGAGGGGAGAGAAGGGGAGAAAATGGAAGGGGAAAAAGGAAAGGGAAGGAAAAAAGAACAAGGAAAGGAAAGGGGGAAGGGAAGAGAAGGAAAAGGAAAGAAAGGGAAGGGGAGGGGAAGGGAGGGGAGGGGAGGGAAGGGAAGGGAAAGGAGAAGAGAATAAAAAAGGGGAGGGGAGGGGATGGAAGGACAGGGAAGGGAGAAGGAGAGGAGGGGAGAGAAGGGGAGGGGAAGGGAGGGAGAAAGAAAGAGAAGAAAAGAAATAAAAGATGAGAAAAGAAAAGAAAAAGGAACAAAGAGAAAGAGAAAGAAAGAGAAAGAGAAGGAAGGAAGGGAGGGAGGGAGGGAGGGCAGGGAGGGAGGGGGAGGAAGGGATGAAGGGAGGAAGGGAGGGCGGAAGTAAGAGAAAGAAGCTGGTTAAGAGTGAGGTAACCACTCTTGTGTTACGGTACCGAGTTTTCCAAAGATTAAAACGACACTGTACAAGTTTGAAGAAAAAAAATAAAAAAGCAGAATGAGCAGACTGCAGTCCCTCTAACTCTCTCACATTTTCCTAGTTAAATTATACAAACTCTCTAATTATTGATTTTTCTTTCTATTTCATGGGGGCAAAAATTGTACATATCAGCTTAGTCATGGTCAGCCAGGAAAAGACTAACCACAGTTAAGTATTTTAAACAGAAAAATTTAATCCAGAAAGATGAGTAGAGGAAACCCTAAGACTATGAGAGACCCAGGACTTGCTAGACATTTGGATTATTTCATTTTTCTTCCCTTTTATAAAGTATGTTATTGTAGATATTGAGGTTCACAGAATATGTTTTGTTCTGGTTTTATTTTTTTTTTAACTCCAAAGAAGTATTATTTAGAACGTTTGAAATTGTATTAGTTCTAGTGTCGGCTTTTCCTGCATAGCAAACAACCAAAGAATCTCTGTGGCATACAATAATATGCACTTATTTCTTACTCATGGTCTAAAGATTGGCAGGAACTTTCTTTCAGGCTGTTGGTTGAGTTCAGGTTGGCTGCACCTGTCTGATTTTGGGGTCTGCACTAGAGAGTCTGCAGCTACTTGGTGCATATTATTCTCCTGATAAAGGCAAGCAGCACCCAGAAGGACAAGCAGAAACAAGCAAGCAGGGACAGAAGAAGGAAGGAAGGGAGGGAGGGTGAGAGGGAGGAAGGGAAGGAGAAAAAAGAGAGGAAGAGAGCCAAAATGGAGGGAGAAGGGGATGTAGAAAGGAAGGAAAGGAAAAAGGAAGGAAGGAAGTGTTGGGGCTGAAAATGTCTCCTATAACCTACCTTCCCTATTTAATTCAATGCTACTCTAATCAATCTCTCACTTCTCCTGGACACACATTTGCATAAAATACGTTTCTTTTGGGGTACCCTCCGATACTTGAGCACCTTCAAGGAAAGACAGGTTCGAACTTCAAAGGATCCCACATGTTTAGACAAAATATTGTCAATGGAATCAGAAATCCTCAGCTTGGGCCTTTCTCCAAACAATTGCTGCCTTTCCATTGCCTGTTTGTTCTAACAATTCCTTTCAGTTCTTAACTAAGAACACCCTTATTGTTTCTCTCAGTGACTATTTGGCCCTGTAATTCCAATTCTTGGTCCAACATCGAGCTCCCTTTTTCTCTGCATTTTTATAATCCTGTAGCTCCTTTTTAGATCTGTCCATCTGCCCCAGAAGCAACTGTTAGGCTCCATATGCTACCTTGTAGGACTTAAGGTGAACACCAGAAATAAGAATAAACAAAATCAAAATTAGTGCTATTGAACAATAAACAAGATGTTTGTGAGTGCTCTATTTTATTTAGTTGAAAATTCTAGGAGTTAACTCATTTGCAATAAATGAATTGCCAAAAATGTTCTAAATTTAAACAAATGTTATCTGTAAAATATTATACTCAATTAAAGTAATAAGAACAATAAGAAGTATACATTATTGGTGGAACTCTACTTATACCTTAGGTACATGAGCGTATTTAATCTTTAGAGTTATATTTTCTTGTGTGGTGGTGATTACAATCTTTATTTAAATGATACCATAACTTAACTTTAGGGTAAGTTAAACAGCCTATGCAATCTAGTAGGCAGCAGAGACAGGAACACATGGGTGTTTAATAATTGCTTGGATTTAGCAGATGCTTGAATAAATGAACAGATGAGTACTTGAGATTGGATGAAATAAAAGGCTTAAATAGGCAAGTACTGGCATGCGTAAATGAAGATACTGAGGGTCTTGAATGCTATGCTAAAAAGTTTAAATCTATTATAATTGATAGAGGATATACTTAGAGGTCTTTGAGCAGTCAAGTGACACTCCCAATATTTATTACTGAATAATCAGAGACCATCATGTTTTTTGGGCTGAAAAAGAGAGAGACTAGTCAGCGAAGTCAGCCTGCAGAATTTTGCAAAAATGTGTATGTGGGTAAAGGATCTGAATTGCAATGGCATGAGTGGGACTAGAAAGAACAGAATTAACATGAGAAATTGTGCACAACATCGCTCATTTCCAGAACTGGGAAACTGATTGGACACAGCCTGTAAGGGTGGCGAAGGAGTTAACAGCACTAAAACTGCCTGTAGTTTACAAGGCATTTTGAGATATTCAGTTGCTTTAAGGCCATAATTTTAAATATTAATTGTATTTGTCAAACTGTAAGGCATTTGCTTATCGGGAAAGAAAATATCCAAATGCCTGTGAACTCTTGATTTGACTAGGGCCAACTTTTTTAAAATATATTTTTTGAGGAAAAAAGTCTTTATAATTATAGTGCTATATAAGCATTAGTTATTTTCACTACTCTATACCACAACCTAGTGGATTTCCTGACAGGGTATACTCAATAAATAATTCTTAAATGAATGAATGAGGAAATGTCATCAGGCATACAAAATAGCTCTTTGAGGTAGGTAGAAACTTGAGTTTCCTTTTATAGGCAAGGAAATAGCTTGAACAACTTGCTTCTGTTTTCCCATCCAGCATGTGACCTACTAAGACTTGAACTCTGGTAGGTTTCTCTGAGTTAAAAGCTCATTTAACTATACCATGATGCTTGATTTAACATAATGGATACCTCCACCAACCCCCCAATAAAGATTAACTACATTTATAAAAGCTAGGGTAAAATGAGGAGGAAAGAAAGTAATACTCTCATGGCACAATATTGCAAGTATTCATCTCAGGTAGATGTGAAATACGCTGCTCTATCTCCTGCTATTAGGTTGGAATGAGAACAGTGGGAGATGTGCCCCCCCCCTCAGCTATGACATACCACAGCAGATGTTCAGCTGAGTGCTCTCCAGGTGAGAACCTTAATCACCTGCAGGCTGAGTAAGAGGCAGAGCCCCCAGCTGAGAATTACAACTGCTTCTCCAGTCTGAGGGAACTACTGCCTACATATCAGATCAGAAGCACATAGGCAAAACAGAAGCCACTGTTGGAGAGGTAGCTGCCCAAAGCAAAGGATCTTTTCTGGAAAGTAAAATTATTAGAATTAATAGGTACGCCCATAATCCACAGCCTGTACTAGATGCTATGTTTTTAACTACTGTGCTCTTTGAAATTGATATGCTACGAAAAAAAAAAAAAAAAAACAGAGAGAGAGAGAAAGAAATTGGCATTTCTAGAGCCATAGAGATAGAGTACGAAATAGATGCAAGCCCTGTAGACCTGGATTTAGAGCTGATTATTTCTGCCACCAATAGCCCTGCAGTTTGGTCATATCTCAATATTTCTGAGCCACACCATCCACATCTGTAAATTGAGGGGAGTGAAACAAGATTACTTCTACTCATTCCATTTCTAAGACACTCAGATTCTGATCTAAGTATTAACTATTTACTGTATGTTATCAAGAGCTCGGCACTGCATACAAGGGGAGAAAGGATGCTGCACAGAGAAAGTGCTAATTCTGTTTGTGGAATTGAAATAAATTGAATGAGCATTATCTCAAGGTCAACTAGGGATTAAAGAGGTGTTGCTTCTTTAAATATCTCATTTTCTTGCTGGTCCCTACCTAGTAGACACCACACACACACAAACACACACACACACACTCACCATGGCTAGGTCAGGCTTAGAGGAGGAAGAAGGGCAACAGTACAACTAGAAAGTCATCAAATTGCCTGTTTATACTATAGTGTAAATAAGTAAGTATTTATTGCACAACTTGGAGGAATACCAACAGAATCAAAACACAGTCTCTACCCTCAAGTTGTTCCCAAACCAGAAAGATATAAAAAGATGTGAGCAATGCTGACAGGAAAGATAAGGCATGAAAATTTAGAAATCATGTCATTCTAGAATCAGTTTCATTATAACACCAAAATGAAGGATCTCCATTGCCCGGCCAATTATAATCGTCCTTTTATAGTTAGATAGATTCTAATTTACTTGCAAAATAGTCAATATGGTCATATTAGCCAGAAGAAAGAATACAGGAAATCAGAGAATTTTAGTTAACTAGTGCAGCTTGTAACTAACAGAGTCAAACTCCAAACTCTATGCTTGTCACCATTAGACACAACTGTCACCGACTCAGCTGTTCCAAGGGTTAGCATATTTCACAGAGCATCTCTGTCCTTACCACTTTAAAATTGGTACCATTTAACCAATGTGGTGTGAAAACACCACAGTGCTGAAATTTTCAAATACAATACTAGCATTGCCTGGGCTGTTGTTGCTTTAGAAAATGCTCTGCAATCAAGGCAATTAAGCAGATAGCCCAACTGGCATGGCTGGCCACCCTGGAGTGCTTCTCCTATGGAGCTTATAATAAAATCAGAATCACTTAACTAAACTCCAACATGCTTGGACACTTTTAAATAGAGAAAAGTAATTAGGCCAACCTTTCTAACAGCTTGTTAGATAAAAGATTTGAAAGTGTAGACCTATATTGTTCCCAGTGCATATCAATTTTTTCTAATTTACCAATTGGTGAATTGTAAAGAAAAAGAAAACATGAGCTTTTAATAAACTCCACAAACACTGAACTTCTGTAATGTTCCTTACTTGGAATATATCAGTTAGTATTAAGCTGGGGCACTTTCTGAAACATAATCCTTTGAATATGTATGAGTTTTGTATAAGTGGATAAAGGCTTTGTTAGAAACAATATCCCTGGAAAATTTGTCTAATTGTTGTGATTTTAATAATCCCCCCAAATCTTAAGCATGTCATTTAGGTATAATAATAAGCCTGTTGTAAGAAAATAAAATGCGAGTTTGAAAGACTTCACCCAAGGTCACCTGGTTCTAAGTATTGCATAATGAATCTCACAGCTTTAAGGGAAGATGTGATTTCTAGATTAAAATTAAGGCTCTGTCTTCTTGGCCTGAAACTATAATAAAGGGAATTTGGAATACAATATAGAAGGTTCAGGGATAAAGTAGAGTCAGACAGAATATTATAGGGTAAACAAATGTTCAGATTGCTAATTTCATTCCTCTATATTTCTAATTGAATATATTCATCAAAGCTTTCTTCTCAAGTTCCAACAGACTCTTTTTAAAATAGTACTGTGAAACAATGTTTTTACCGGTAATAATAGCTCCTGCATTTACTGAATATTTACCATGCAACAGGAATATGCTCAGATCTGTGATCATATTGTCCTATCTATGACAATATTGAGTAGATATTCTGATTTCATTGGCTTTATAGTTTTGAGGGATTAAATTTCCCGAAGTCTTAGTTCCAGTAAATGGTGAAGTGAGTGACTGAAATTAGTTCTGGTCTACTTCAAATACCATGCGGTTATTCACAATCCTGCCTATCACAACCTCATAATTAAATTATGTTTTGGGTTTCCCTCCTAGAAGGAATTGATTTGGTGTTGATCTCTACCATCAGAGAAAGCTTAACTTGTTTTTCTGACCTAATAAATCACTTTACACGTGAAGGTATGAGTGAGATAAAGAGCCACCAAAATTCCCCAATACGTCTTCAGGCCGTTGCAAAGTCCTTAGGGCTCTAAGATAACTACCTCTCCTCCACTGTGCTGTTGCACCCTCTTGTCAACAGTTAGATTTTCTTTAGTAGAACAATGTGAAGAATGAGACTGAACATGCAAATATTTCTCTGTGAAATGGGCTCTGGTTTAGCATTCAGGCTACCTGGGTTCTAATTCCAGACTAATAACCAGGTGATCTTGAACATGTCCATTTTTTCTCAGGCTTTCAGTGGTGTTCTGGAAAAGCCTTTTAAGGCTCTTCAGTGCCAATTAGGTTGCACTTCTCAGCTCTGCATTCAAAGATGTCATGTTACTAGCTTAGGATCTGCCACCATGGGAGTATTTTAACACCACAAAAATAGCTAAATGATATAAATCAGAGCCCACCATGCCTGACCAGGACCAGGTGGTGGCAGCAGAGGAGGTAAGTCATCAAATTCTGGATATATTTTGAAGCTAGAGCAGCAGGAAGGTAAGAAAGAAAGGAATCAAGGATGACTCTGCCTCCTAACACTGAGGCCTTCATTCTTTTTATAACCATGAAGCATTTATCATAAAGCTACTGATAGAGCAAAAGTTCTATGACCAAAAAAAAAAACCACTTTTTGCATAGATGTTCTTGCTGCTAAAGTAGTTGGCATCATTTCCTTCTGATGCCTACTGAAACTAAGCTTCCTGTCTTGCTTCTTCATCAGGGTGGAAGACACTGATCTGAACTGTGCAAACTCTATGTTTATTCGGTGCTCCAACAAATCTGTCAAATGATAGTGTCCATTATCCATCCTCAACAAGTAGCACAGTGCTACCCAAACCACAATATCGTTTCTTTAAAAAAGAAGGCTTTAACATCTGAGATATCTTGGTTCAGATTCTGACTCTATTATTTACTATGAATTTGAGCCTGGACAATTTAATCAACATTTATAAACCTCAATTCATTACTCACCCATAGCTTGAAAGTGATATTATTGACTCTATGTGTATCTGGGGAATATTAAATAAAGTAATTCCTGAGGATGCTTAGCAATGTCTGCTACTCTAAAATTATTTTTGTAATTATTATTATTAATTTGTTCAGAAATTTTTATTTTTCACATTTCATGAAAATATATTCATAGTAAAGAGGAATTTATGAAGGTGAAAATGGATGAGAGAGTTCATAATATACATGTCTAAAATTCAGTATCAAGGTTTCACCTGGTTTTATCTTTATCCTGTAATCTCCATTGTTACACCAAACCTTTAGAAAAGTTCTTCTACCTACCACAATTTATGTTAATGCCATATTAGAAAATAAAGGAAGAGCTTTTTGGAATATTTTTGGAGGGCAAAGTGGCCAGAAAGCAGATTAGCAACCACTAGAGGTGAGCCAGGTGTGTGATGACATCAGAAGAAATCCTTAAAATGCATTCGTCACACCGAGAGAGCCTTAGAAATCTTGATTAGTAAATAGACTTCCCACAGTAAATGGCATGGAGTTATGAGCCATTTTAGCTGACAATTAAAGCAAATGATGATTCCCAAAAGCTGAAGTACTTAGGGTAACCCCCGCACCAGCCACCTTGGCTAAAAAGCTCTCCACACAAATACCAGAATTGTACAGTCAATACAGCTGAGACCCTACTTCACGTGAAGAATGGAGCACACATTTTTTCCAGATCACAGACTTCAATAGTGGGAAAGAAAAAAAGAAGTAGGAGCAATAAAGCTGGACTTCAAAATTTTGCCCAGAGTTCACCCTGTTTGTTTTCTTAATAATGTCTGACCATTTGCTATTTCTTTTCCTTCCTGTCCCAAGTTGGGTCAATAGTTCTTGATGATTAGTTTTTCTGAGAAATGGCAAAAGGACAAAATGACCCAGATGACCAGAGTGAGGCTGGGCAGTGAGTTAGTGGCTTTTTGATAAGATAAAGATAATTATAGAAGCTTAATGATTTGTTCAGGTTGTAAATGTGACGGATGAACTTTGCTGACCTTGCTATTTTATTTTGGATTTATGAATAATGAATAATTTGTTTTAGGGCATTCAAAGGGTTTAAATGTCACATCCAAGACTCTGACCTTGTCATTTTTAAGTGCCTGGTTAGAAAGAATAATCATTGTCAAGACCAATGGGTGCTTTCCCTAAATTAAAAGGTTTTTAGAATATGGTTGAACTTGATAATATTTCCATAATTGTCTTGTGAAAAATATGTTAAAGAATTGTTACTTTAATAAATGTGAAAGATGAAATTAAAATGTGTATTATTATGCAAAATGAGGACTGTGGTAAACTTTGTCTTATAAATGTCACCTTTAATGGACTCTTCTGTTGAAAAAATTGTAATTTTTTGATTACATAAGTACTCTAGTTGCAAAGGTATTGCATTTATCCATATTTGCTTCATGCCATTGGATATTTCCCTATTTTTAGTTGTTTAGTATATATGTAGTCTACTTACAGAAAGAATTTGAAATGACTCACAACAAAACAAAACAAAAAAGTAAACTCAAACCTTTGAAATAATGATAAAAGAGCAAAAGACATACACTTGGAGAACTGGAAAATTGAGGAGAATAATTGTACCCCAAACCTTTTCTAAAGAAGGCTGCAGCTAAGAAAATAGCAAAAAAAAAAAAAAAAAAAAGGCAATCTTTGCAAAAAGAGAGATGTGATAAGTATCATATTTTGTTCTTATATTCTAGTAATAAAAAGACATAATTATCAAACAGGACTTTTCCATGTTCTGAGCTCTGAAAGTTTTTATTACAGAAATTCTTATTTAAGGCATATATTGGTTAGTGTTGACATCCCATCTAGATCCCATTTACTTACTAGGCTGGTGCACCCAAGCCAGAGCTCCTTTCACCTTCACCTTTCTCTGGAGGAGTTCCCTTGACTAATAGGAACCATCTAGCTGAGAGTTGCATGAGAGCTTGCTAACCTCTTCCTAGGATGGCTTGTGGAAAATGACAGACTGATATAATACATAAAAGCCAGGTCCCCTTCCTCTTAGTGGGCAACCTTGTAGAACAATTCACACTCCTGAGGCCCTCATGAAACCAAGCTGAGGCTGGGACTACTTCTGCTGAAACTACATTTTTGCTTACTTCCTTTCCTCTGTCCAGTCCTATTTTACTTACTTTCTCTACAGGTTTCTCTTGCGAATATGCCCCCAATAAATCATTTGCTCAAGAATCGTCCCACAACAAGGCAAAATACATTAAAAAAAGGTAAATCATTTTTAATAAAATGTTTTGTACAAAATTTATAGAGGCATTTTCTTTAGATAGCTATGCCTTAACTCTTTCCTTAGTTAAACCTGAGGAAATAATATTAATTCATGATTTTTTAAAGCATAGTGTCAAATGCCATTTATCTTGTTTTTAATTCTTCTTTAGATTTGCTCTAAAAACAAGTAGATTTATTTCATTTTCTTTCTTTTTTTTTTTTTTTCATTGTGTGGACCCCAGATGACACTTTCTGTCTTTGAACAATGGGAAGATTGTTTTGTATTTGGCCAGGAGGAAAAAACAGTCTAAATACAGATATCCAATCAAAGTCAGAAAGAATGAGACTAAAACAGTTTGGTAGCCAGTTTGAGGCAGGAAGGGGATTCTGATCAGAAAACGTACACTCTAAACCTGTGTTTAATCATAGGAATCACCTCCATGTGACCCATGATTTTCAGCAAGTAAAATAATCTTCATGTATATCACTTTCTTCATCATAAAATGAAGTGATAATAATATCTGCCTGCTAGGATTGCAGTAAAGATTAAGATGTATTTGGACACTCTCATAAAGTGAGCACTAAAATGGCTGATTAATAAATATTAGCTTTGGCCAGGTGTGGTGGTGCATGCCTATAATCCCAGCATAGGAGGCTGAAGTGAAAGGATCACTTGAATCCAAGAGTTGGAGACCAGCCTGGGCAACATAGCCAGACCCCATTTCTACTAAAACAAAAAAAATTAGCCAGACATGGTGGTATTCACCTGTGATCCCAGCTATTTGGGAGGCTGGGGTGGGAGAATCACTTGAGCCCAGGAGGTTGAGGCCACAGTGAGCTGTAATTGCACTACTGCACTTCAGCTTGGGCAACAGACCAAGACAATGTTTCAAAATAAACAAATAAATAAATATTAGCTTAATCACTTTCTAACACACCTCCTCTTCAAGTAAACACTTGTAATATTAAATAATATAGGGGCCATTACAGGAAGTGCTTTTGAAATGAAAACCTGTACATGGGAGATACGTCTTTGAGGAAGGAAAAGTGTGTGTGTGTGTGTGTGTGTGTGTGTGTGTGTGTGTGTGTGCGCGCGCATCCACCTTGCACCTGCGTGAAATATATATTTGGTCTTCATTCCTGTTTTTTGGAAAAAATTCTTGGAATTTCCAGAGTAAGTGTGTTTTTATTGCTAATTATGTGACTGGTGGATAAGGTTTCCTCAGTAGCTTCAAGATGGGTGCTGGTCACCACAAAGACCAAGGGAGGACTAGAAGGTTGGGACTTTCAGCTCCATTTCCCTAACCTTTGGGGAGAAGACAGTGTCTGAAAGTTATGTTGACCACCAATGGCCAATGATTGAATCAATCATGCCTACATAATGAAGCCTCCATAGAAACCTAAAAGGACTGAGTTTAGGGGAGCTTCCTTGTTGGCTATCAAAAACATGCAGCTGCCAGGAGGTGGTATACGTAAACTCCCGGGGACAGAAGTTCCTGTGCCCAGAACCCTTCCAGACCTTGCCTTATGTATTTTCTCATCTGGATGTTCATTTGTGCCCTTTAAAATATATTTTGTAATAAATGAGTAAATATGAGTAAAGTGTTACCCTGAGTTCTTTAGCAAATTAATCAAACTCCAGACAGTCAGAAGTTCTGGAAGCACAGACTTGCAACTGATAACTGAAGTGGGGAACGGTCTCGTGGGACTGAGCTTTCAACCTGTGGGATCTGGTGCTATGCCCATGTAGATACTGTCAGAATTGAATTGAATTAGACACTCACCCGGTGCTCACTGCTGAACTAGTTGCTTGCATCATGAATAGGGAAAAAAAATCCCCACACATTTGGTCACAGAAACATTCTGTTATGATAGTATACCAGGAAAGATGCCAAGGTTTTTTCCTAGAGTGAGAGAGAGAGAGAGAGAGAGAGAGAGAGTGTGTGTGTGTGTGTGTGTGTGTGTGTGTGTGTGTGTGTCTGAGAGACAGAGAGAGGAAGAGAGAAAGGAAAGGAGGAGGAGGAGGAAGAAGAGGAAGAGGAGGAGGAGACATTTGGTCTAGAATAAGTTGATAAGATCCCTGAATTATATGTGTCTAAGAATTCAGAAATAATAGGAGCAACTAGTCCAATAAGGTAAGTATTTTTCCCTATCCCTTCTGTATTATTTAATAAAAATATTCCACATAGAAGGGAGAAGGTCATGTTCTCTCCCTATAAAACATGCCCAAGGGACACAGAAGTTAACTAATATGGGTCTCTAAAATGCATGTTGTTGGTTTTAAAAGCTGTTTCCTAAGTTAACAATTAAAACAATTATCTTATGAGCTGTTTTTAGTAAGATAGTTGCTAAACTGTTCAGCAAAGGAAACTATTTCTATCTAGTTCTAAGTGAAAAGGTTATGGAGAAAGGAACCTGAGTAATTTAATACCAATGAGAAAGATGGGGAATGAATAGATTTCAGTTTAAACCACAGCAGCAGCCCAGACAATCGCTGTGGGTGAAAATACTTCACAGGCTCACCAATGGCTTATGGAGAAAGAATTATGAATTCAACACTTCTCAAAGTGTGTTTCATGTAATGCTTTTTTTTTTTTTAAAAAAGGCCTCTATGATGAAATACTTGGAAATACAGCACACTTTATATTTGGATGTTTGCTATGTATGTTAGCATATGTAAAGCTCTGAAAAACATCCCTGTATTAAAGATAAATTCTAACTGGAGGCTTTTTGTTTGTTTAGGTTATAGTTTGGGGTGAAAATGATATATTATCATCAGCCTGAAATTGGTAGTGATGACAGATTACTTCCTTTTTCATTATGTGCCTAAGATTTTTGAAAGCCTATGAATTCCCAATAAGGAGAAGAATTCAGTGTGGCTCATTTCAATCACACTGTAAAATCTATAATGAGATTGAAGACACTGTAGACTTTATAGTGAGATTGAAGGCATTATATTGAGACACTATAGACTCTATAGATGCTGAAGGGAGTCTTCTTGGGAAGTAGAGCCCAAAGGTAAGAAAATGAGTAAATTTCTGGCTCCCATAGCAGCCACGGTGTTTGTTAAGGGTAGGTAGCCTATTCTCATAAAGGCTGGTAGCATCATCCACTGAGGTTTAAAAACTTGTCAACTAACCACTGTAGAGGCCAAGGTAAAAACTTCCCCTTTGACCCCTGAAGATGTGCTAAAAAATCAACTCAGTAAACTCAGATTAATTGGAGAAAAGGCATACACATTTATTAATATTACACAGGGAGAATCACAGAGTGATTGCCCCATATCCCAAAGGGGTGTAAATGCTTATATACCCTCCTTCTTAGGGAAAGGGTAATGGGGAAGTGTAGATGATTTTTAGGGGAATTCAACGGGCTTGGAGAACATACAAGTGCCTGGGACAAAGTCTGTTGAGCCAGCAGAGTGGACAACAGTTTGTGACAAAAGTCTGTCCAGGTGTGTTGACAGATTTTAATATTTCTTCCTGTAACATGAGTTCAACTAATGAAAACTCAGGGAAGGAACCCGATGTAATTATTTTCTTCTTTGTCAGGTTTGGATTTGAAGTGGATAAGGAACTACAGAGAACTTAATCCTGTGTTTGTGAGACACACGGGATTGAGACAGGAGGTCGGGGAGAAGGTCAGAGGGAACTTGTGGCTTCTTCTTCATTTCAGCATGTCAAAGTGTCATACTTTGGGGTATTAATTTCTGAGCTCCAACACTGCTTAAGCCTTTTCAACTCTCTTCATCAGTATCTCTAAAGGTCTATTTGCTGGCCTGGCATAATACGGCCAGTTTTATGTCTGTTGTCCTCTAGATTATGATGTTATGGGGATGTTTGTTGCATTGGGTCAGTACTGTAGAGTGTTGAAATCCTCACTATGGGATCAGGGTGATCTCAGAAAGTCAGGGGCAGTTGAAGTTGAATATTTCTGTTGGAACAGACAGAGCAACTTGGTCGAGTGGCAATGAACAGACTCCAGTTTAAATTACAGTCCATTAAGAACTGAAGATCTGACCATACCTATGAAGTTATTTCTGAATAGCTGGCTGAAGGGAGGAGACAGAAGCTGAGTGCTTCTTTGGGTACCACAGTGGAGCCCTTTCAGTGGTAATTAGAGAGAGATGGCAATATCACTTAAAGGGGCTTTGTGCACAAAGGGCTGAACTATAAAAGTATAGTTTTTGCACTCAGCATTGAGTTCTCATGTCAAACTACTACTTCGGGTGCCAGTCAACCCTGGTACCACCACTCCATATGGTATCTTATACATCCAAAACATCCCCTCCCCACCATCATATACACACATATGCACATTTCTTGTTCCCTGATGACCAAGCTCTGTAAGGTTAGAGTTATGCTTTAATTGTGTTGTTTATTGTCTTAAAAAATTAGGTTTGGGCATGTTAATCTCAAGTAACTGAAGCCAACTAAACTTATGCTTAAATATTAAAGAAAAGCCATTCAACTTTTTATTTGCAAAAGCAGGAAAACAGGAAGCATATTTCAAGGTTATTTTCTGTTCTTGCCTCTCTGTGATGCTTTGCCAACTCCTCTAGCTAAGAAAGATAAACAGCAATTCAATCTAGCATATCATTTCAGGACCCCCACATTAGAGTTTAATTATACTTAAACTGGAGTTTTCCAAACATATTTGGCCCATTTAATATCACCTCAAATGGGGTTCTGCAGAGCAGAATCTTTTAAGTGCAGGTGCATTATTTGGTATTTGCATCTTATAAAACTATGTAAAGTAGAAAAATGAGAACAGATAACTAAACTCTCCCATGCCTCATTTCCCCCATCTCCTAAATTGAATTAATAGAATCTGTCATGGTCCTTTCTGTCTGTGACCTTGGGGAGTTTCAAGTAGAGATGACCTGTAAAAAAGTTTTTATATTTTGTATATTCAGTTACTGCTTCAGACAGGGAAGTTAAGTTAAAGAAAAGCAAAGGTATATTCTCTTTGTAAAGCTTTATTTAATCCTTATCAAATCCTGAGTAATTATTCGGCTTTCTATCAGCATGATTTTGTCAGGGAAATTGAGGTAGACTGTATTTGCATGCTCAACCCAAACTCATAGTCATTAAAGGACAAATTGATATAAGAAATTAGATGATCTCCTAAGGCTGTTAGTGAATTCCAAGAGTCGGTATAATTTGAAGTATGTCCAAAACTGAAAACAAAAACAAAAATGAACAGATTTGTTAAAGCAATCCTTTAAGAATTTTGTTGTTTACCTAGTTTTACCACCCCCCAACCCCACTCCCTTTAAGTAGCAGAATTGTGACCACAAAAACATTTCTTTATCCAGATCTCTACACATAAAGTAGGTTGGTGAACTCAAATCTTGAGATTTTTCATGTGTATGATCTATGCTGCATGCCCTAAAACATTGCTCTTGCTTCAAAGTCCCTAATAGTATTGGGGAGGATATGAATGTATTTTCCTTGCAGTAGAATAAATAATTTCTTGATTGAAATTAATAATCATGTTATTATTTAATAATCATGTTATTATTTAGTAATCATAACATTTTTCTCTTCAGAATGTAGCCTGGGTACTGAAACACAGCTTTGAGTGATCAAACTTTCTGACAACGAATTCAAGTAGCAGGGGCATTTCTGTTACTCAAATAAGTGCTTGATTACATGGACCTCTGTACATATTTTATTAAGACCCAATGCATTGCCCTTTGGCTCACATTTCAACAAACCAACTTTAAGTTTGTAGTTGTTGCTTTTAAAGGATAGAACACATTGGATTTTAAATAAATATTTGCTTAATCTGAAGTTTTATCCAGTTGCTTTTCTAGAGGAGAACAAGAAAAGAAAAATTGTGGAGGAGAAAGAGCTCTGAAGATAAAGGTTTTCTGATTTAGAATAAAGCTCCTCCAAAGGCCTGAACTTAGTTAAGAGTATGGAAGATGCCCACCATGAGGACCTCATCTACCCATTCAGTTCATAACAAGCACCATCCTCTGTATTCACTTTCCAAATTGTAGATAACTCTAAGTTCAAAACTTGAAAAGTTGTGGAAACCATTTATGGCAGTGACAACATGCTGATTCTTCACAACTTCAGCATCACCCGGGAAGGTTACATTCTGGAATCATACACGGGCATACCTTGTTTCATTGTGCTTCACAGACATTGTGTTTTTAACAAATTGAAGTTGGGTGGCAACTCTGCATCAAGCAGGTCAATTAGCACCATTTTTCTAACAGTGAGTGTTCACTTCACGTCTCTGTGTCACATTTTGGTAATTCTTGCAACATTTCAGACTTTTTCATTATTATTTCATCTGTTTTGGTGAACTGTGACCAGTGATCTTTGATGTTACTATTGTACTAGTTTTGGGGCACCATGAGCTGCTCCCATATAAGACAGCAAGGTTAATCAATAAACATTATGTGTGTTCTGACTGCTCCACTAACCAGTCATTCCCCTTTCTCTCTCACTCTTCTCAGCCCTTATTCCTTGAGACAAAATAGGATTAAAATTAGGCCAATTAATAATTCTGTAGTGGTCTGTACATATACAAGTGTAAGAAAGGGTCACGTCTCTCACTTTAAATAAAAAACTAGAAATGATTTAGCTTGGTGAGGAAGGCACCTAAAGCTGAAATAGGCTGAAAGCTAGGCTTCTTGTGCCAAAGAGTTAGCCAAGTATGCAAAAGAAAAGATCTTAAAGGAAATTAAAAGTGCTACTGCAGTGAATATGCAAATGATAGAAAAGCAAAACAGACTCATTGCTAATATGGATAAAGTGAGTGCTCTGGATGAAAGATCAAACTGGCCACAACATTCCCTGAAAAAGTTAACCTTGTACCTACAAATAAGATTGTGCAGTGAATTTTAGCTCAAGTTGAGTTTAGTAAGCCAAGCCCTAACTTCCTGTAATTCTCTAAGGGCTGAGAGAGATGAGGATGCTGCAGAAGTAAAGTGTGAAGCTAGCAAAGGTTGGTTCATTCGATTTAAGAAAATAAGTCATCTCCATAGCATAAAAGTGCAAGGTGAAGTAGCAAGTGCTGAGATAGAAGCAACAGCAAGTTTTCCAGAAGATCTAGCTAAGATTTAGCAAGAGACTTTCCATCAAAATAAAACAGCCTTCCGTTGAAAGAAGATTCCATCTTCTTTCGGTTCTAGAGGGAAGAAGTCAATGCTTGGCTTTAAAGCTTCAAAGGACAGGCCGATTCTCTTGTTACATATCAGTCAGCACAGCTGGTGACTTTAGGTTGAAGCCAATGACCCTTTATCATTTTGAAAATTTGAGGGCCCTTAAGAATTATACTAAATTTACTCTGCCTGTGCTCTATATGCTCTATAAATAGAACAATAAAACCTGCATGACAGCACATCTGTTTGCAGGATGGTTTGCTGAATATTTGAAGCTGACTGTAGAGACCTACTGCTCAGAAAAAAAAAAAATCCTTCAAAATATTATTGCACATTGACAATGCACCTGGTCACCCAGGAGCTCTGATGGAGATATACAAGGAGATTAATGCCGTTTTCATATTTGTTAACACAACTTCCATTTTGCAGCTCATGAATTAAAGAGTAATTTCAGTTTTCAAGACTCATTATTAAAGAAAGACATTTCTTAAGGCTATAGTCACCATAGAGAGTACTTCCTCTGATGGATCTGAGCAAAGTCAGTTGAAAATCTTGTGGTAAGGATTCTCTATTCTAAATGCTATTAGGAGCACTTGTGATTCATGGAAGAGAGTTATTATACCAACAATAAGAGGTGTTGGGACAAAGTTGATTCCAATCCTCATGGACGACTTTAAGGGGTTCAAGACTACAGTGGAGGAAGTAACTGCAAATGCGTGGAAATATTAATAGAACTAAAATCAGAGGTGGACTCTGAAGATGTGACTAAATTGCTGCAAGCTCATGATCAGTCCAATATGAATGGATAAGGAATTGCTGCTTATGAATGAGCTGAGAAAGTGGTTTCTTGAGATGGAAGCTACCCCTAGTGAAAATGTTGTGAACATTGTTGAAATAATAACGAAGTAGAATATTACATAAACTTAGTTGATAATGTAGTGGCAGAGTTTTGAAAAAGTTGATTTTGATTTTGAAAGAAGTTATATCATGGTAACATGCTATCAAACAGCATCACACACTGCAAATAAATCTTGTGCGAAAGGAAGAGTCAATCGATGTGGCAAGCATCATTGCAGTCTTATTTTAAGAAATTGCCACAGCCACCCCAACCTTCAGCAACCACCACCCTGATTAGTCACCAGCCATCAACATTTAGGTGATAACCTCTACCAGCAAAAAGATATGACTTGCTGAAGGCTCAGATAATTATTAACTTTTTTTAATAACCACATATCTTTACATTAAGGTATGTACATTGTTTTTTTAAATGTAATGCTATTGCACACCCAATAGACTACAGTAAACAGTAAACATAACTTTTATATGCACTGGGAAACCAAAAAAATGTGGTGAGTTGTGTTACTGTACGATTTGCTTTATTGTGGTGGTCTGGAACCAAAGCTACAATATCTCCAAGATCTGCCTATAATCTTGAGTTTGTATTTTAACTGCATTACCTCTTAGCGGTGTAACATTGAAGTTTGTAGGTGCTGACTACTTTTTCCACTCTCCTCATTTATAATGTGGAAAATAATAAGACCACATAGAGTTATTTTACATTCAAATGATACATTGTATATAATGAAATTAGCACAGTGCCAAGTAAAGTATAGGTATGATTATCCTCATTAGGTTTTCAACCTCATTAAAATGTCACTTTCTATATAATTGTACATGAAAGAAAAAACATTTCACAGAATTCAGATTTTGAGCAAGTCACACTCTGAAAATTTTCTAAATACTCTATGTTATATTCTCCTAAAAATATGAAATTTTAGGGTCTGAATTTACTGTTTACATTTTTTCAGCTTTAACTTGTTATTGATGAGTTTCTTTAATTGAAATAGCTATTTTAATTTCAACATGGCAAAGCATTTGCTTTTTGCCAAAATAGAAGATGCAAAGAGTATTTTTTAAGTTCATGAGATGAGAAGCAATATGAAAAACATTCCATTTTTCTCTTATTCTCTGACTTTAAGGTATAGACCTTTCAGTTTATAATAAATGTCATCCTCTGTGTTGGGATTTATGACAAGAGAGTACCCCCACTTATAAGGGAACTACTGTTATTTTCAGACAAAGCTTTAAAAGGTGAAAGAGCCACTCCAGCAATTTATCTGACTTGATAAATTTTAATTCTTTAGAAATGTATGCTTAAATTTATGGTCCTTTACTTGAAAATTCCCGTTTTCCTAGAGATTACTCTTATTTTACTTCGAGAATGACACCTCACCCCACAGAATTCTATCTTCCTTAAGAAAAAATTCTGTCTCCTTCTGAGTTTCTTGAAATTTGTAACTCAAATTTCCCTAATTATCTCTGCCTATTGACTTACATAAACTTTACCATGAAGCATAGCATCTGTTAAAGGGAAGTGATCAGTGGGCTTGGCTAGAGCACTATCCAGGCTATTGTACTGATTTCCCAAATGTTAAGAGTATATTTGACATTAACGTGGTAGAGTCCTTTCTTCTCAAGTCCCTATCTCTGTGTTGAATCAATCCAGGAGGAGACATGAAAGATCTGAGCAGGGTCAATTCTCTCATTTGGGTGTTTAGCAGCAAAATGGTTCTGAGACTCCTCATTGTTTCAAAGACCATAGTTTTGTTAATAAGTAAAGACTGAACAATAATTTGAGATTCTAGTCAAGATGTTTGGACTCAAGTCAGAACCTCGGGGAAACAGAAAGAAATAAGGGTAACTGGATTGCAAGGAGTAAACAAAGGCAAATACAACTGCAAAGAAAGGAAAGATGATAGAGGATAGGTAGCAGCTTATTGTGTAAATACTCCTTTTAACCAGAAATATTTTACCCCATGGTTGAGACACAGATCCAGCCTATGGATTTTCCATTGTTGATCAGGAATAATTCAAGTTCTGTATGGAGGTGAGGTTCATAGTACTTGTAATTATTTAGAATTCAGGCATCAATTCTTATCATTGAAGAGTCATTTTAGTAACATACAAACATTCTAATAACATACAATTATTAAAGCAATGTTGTGAATAAACTTTCTTTTCATAATAGTTTTTCGCTACTTATTTTTTCTATGCTTCTGCAAGGCTATCTTGATGAGAAAGAATAAAGGATATAGTATTTAAATGATTGATTAAACTTTTATTGTCTTAAAAGTTTAATATTTTGGTTATTTTCCTTTGTTGTTACCATCTGTGTTGAATAGTACAAGTTAGTCTGTATCAAAATGAGGAACACAACTCATTCTCTGCATCTACACAAAATATAGTGAATATCTTAGAGATGGTGCATGGATCATGTATTTTAAATAGTAAGATTCCTAGAACAGTATACGTAACTACCACGTCTTTGGACCACTTAATTTTAGTCTTTATTCTCTTTTTCCTTGTCCTTAAGCACTTATAACCCCCTAGTATTTAAGACATCTATGTTAATGACTTTTATGTTCCTACATCTCCAAGCTAAAATTCCTGTTACCATCCACTATTGTTTCCTTTCCTAATTCAGCACAGACAGGTAAGGCTACAATCAGCAGTTTGGCTCTGAAATAAGGCTTTTCATTGTGATGTAGTGTCTGGTGTGGTGGGAGAGATCCTTGTACCCCTGCATGCCTTCCAATCATGACTTTTCTATTTATTTCCCCAACATCCATTTGATTAAACCTAGCACTCCCCTTTTTGGTTTGAACATTCTTTATTCTGGGCCATGCTCAGCTGCTTTGAATGGGAGTCTAACTTTGGATTTGCCATTAAAAGTTTCTGGAGTGAACTCTCTGCATCTTCTTTCACTATTCTTTGGCCGAGACGCTACAAATCATCTTAGATCTTTGGCCGCACAGATGGATCTTATAGTCTGAGCTGGAGAAATAGGTAGAGACAAGACTACACTATCTTTAAAGAATTTGCTAAAGGGACAATCTATAAGAAAGCAGTCACATGGTTTGGATGTCATATTAGACCAAACTACTATTGTTATGAATAAAAAAGACGGTTAAATAAGAAAAAGCCTCAGTGGGCATCTACAGTCCTGCACACTCAGCACTCCTCCCTCAGTCTCTGGAAATAGTATTCCATTTTAATAAAACCGTCACCCTTCCCACCCCACATCTGAGAATCTGCAGCTATAGTTTAATCTTGGAATAATTATATTGATTCATTTTTTTAGCAAGTGGAGTTCTGGTTCCACAAAAATAAAAGGGAACTTATTTATTATTATTATTTCACTCATAAAAGAGTATCCTGTGTCCACTGAGTTCTCCAAGAACCCCTCTAGACAGGGGTTCCCATCCATCCCCACCCAAAAGTAAATGCTCCCCTATTTAGTAAAAATGTATCATATTCTATTTTGCAGTGTATATAAATGCATCTTCCTTGGGCACATGTCCCCAAAGAAATGGTAAATATTTGAGGGCAAAGATTGGGATGCACAACTTTATATTTTTCTATAGAATTATATGTATAGCCAGGCTCCATCATATTATTAATAATATGAATTTAAGGAAAAGCTTACTTTTACTTTAGGTCTCCAAATTAGATTTGTAATTGTCACGTAAATTATGCTTCCTACTGGAAAACATTACATTTTCTTTTCTTTTTCAGAAAACAATTAGTCATTAAGAATATCAAACCCCCAAGGGCAGGAAAAAATTATTTAAACCTCACCACATGTGGTTTGAAACAGGATTTTCTGACTGAGGAGACTAATCAGGCACACTGAATGTTCTAAATGTATTTTCTATTAAACAGGGACTGCTGTAAGGCCAACTGCTTCACATCCGTGTCTTTAGGCTCATTAATTAACTAGCTGCTGTGCAAAATTCATTCTAAAGAAATAAGTTAACTCAAGATAATCCAAAAATAAATTACCTTTAGGACTACAGCCTGTCTCGTTATCATATGTCTACATTGTAAACTCGTAGTGAAACTGTAAAGTTAGTGTTTTGTAAAGGGGATAATTATGAAAGAGAATGCGTGTCTTCTAGAATGTTGACTTCATGTACATAGATTTTACCTTCTTGCTTGAACTGTCTGGTTAGTTCAATCAAATTTTCCAAATATTTTTCATTTCAATTGATGATTAATTCATTTAGAATTTTGAATTTAATTAGGTAATATGAACTTGAGTAATTTCAAAGAAAAATATAAACAGTACCTGAGATTTTCTTTATATTTCTCCTTGTAAAATATTCTAGTTCTTAGTTTTCTAACCATTTTCATTATAAAACCTCAGTTGGGTTTGATAGCTAACATTCCTTCTCACACAGACATATACATACAGAAACCAATTCTTATATCAAATCTGATCAGAATAGGACATTCAGCAGTAGTAGTCTTTTTCTTACCATCTAGAATATTTGAAAACTAAGGTTACTATACCCATGTGTCCATTGGCAGAACTGGGATACTTTGCCCCAGGGGATTTGTCTTACTGCTTGTGTGATTCCAAAGTCATAGCATCTATTCTCTTTCTTTCTCCACTCTCCATATTATTTTAATCTATAATGTTTCTTGATCCTATGATCATGCCCTAAACTCTCTTGTCTGACTTTGGTAACTGAAATTTTAATAGCTCTTATTAGAGTCCTATTCTGGCATGCTCATTTGTGTGTGTGTGTGTGTGTGTGTGTGTGTGTGTGTGTGCGTGTGTGTGTGAGAGAGAGAGAGATTGATTGATTGATTAGATCAGAGACTGAATTTGACTCCTTTTTGTTCAGCCATTCCTGGAGTCTTACTGGGAGAGAATCTAAGACCTATATGCTGGAACTTCGTGTTGGTATGTTCTGATGATATCTGTAATAAAGCAAGCAGCATGTTGGTGCTATTTCTGTGAACTCAAACAGCTGCCAACATGCATGGCTGCCTTTACTAGGCTACTACCTACAATTGTGTGTATTATATATCTACGAGAATCAATGTGTCAGGTAGCCTTGAAATCAGCATATTTCCTTTCCTTGGACCACAGTTGCTAATACTGAGGCCATTTAAAATCATGCTATTGAACAGAAAGAAAAACAAAGTCACAACAGCACATGTAGATGTAATAGCTGATGGAATGCACCTTCCAGGCTGGTGGGATTTTTTTCTCATTCTTTGTCTCTACACTGGCATTTAACTCTCCTAGACACAGAGGTATGAATCACCATCACTGTGTGTTATCTGCCCAAGAAATGTCTGAGCTGCTTTACATACATTAATTCCTTTATATTAGACTCTACAAAGCATTATGCTGGATGTTTTTGCATGTATTATCTCATTTATCTGGAAAGGTACAAAGCCTGAATGGTAGAAAATCTTGCTCCCCAGACTTATCTGTTTATTTTAAATGTGTCACTACCACTGTGGGGAGTACCAAAATGGAGTTGGAATGACAGAAAGGCAAAGGTTCACTCATGCACCATATACAATGACATTTTGGGCAGCAAAAGACTGCTTATATGATGGTGGTCCCATAAAAGTATAATGGAGCTGAAAAATGTCTATTGCCTAGTGATGTTGCGGCCTTCCTGTCATAGCACAATGCATTGCTCACATGTTTCTGGTGATGCTGGTGTAAACAAACCTACTGCATTGCCAGTCATATAAAAGTCTAGCACATGCAGTTATGTACAGTACATAATACTTGATAATAATAAATTGCTATGTCACTCATTTATGTATTTACTATACTATATGTTTTATCATTATTTTAGGGTGTATTCTTTCTACTTATAAAAGAATGTTAACTATGAAACAGCCTTAGGCAGGTCTTTCAGGAGGTATTCCAGAAGAAGACATTGTTATCATAGGAGATAACAGCTCCATGCATGATATTGTCCCTGAAGACCTTCCAGTGGGACAAGATGTGGGGGTGAAAGACAGTGATATGGATGATCCTGATCCTGTGGAGACCTAGGCTCATGTTGTCTTAGTTTTTCAGAAAAACTTTGAAAAGTAAAAAAAAAAAAAAAAAAAAAAGAAAGCTTTTAGAGTAAGGATATAAAGAAAGAAAATATTTTTGTACAGCTGTACAATGTGTGTTTTAAGCTGTGTCATTATACAAGAGTCAAAAAAGTTAAAGCAAAGTTTATAAAGTGAAAAAGTTACAGTAAGCTAAGGTTCATTTATTATCAAAGAAAAAATATATATACACAATATATATATATATATATATATATATATATATATATATATATACATACATATATATATATTTTTTTTTTTCAGACAGAGTTTTGCTCTTGTTGCCCAGGCTGGAGTGCAATGGCATGATCTCAGCTCACCGCGACATCTGCCTTCCAGGTTCAAGCAATTCTCCTACCTCAGCCTCCTGAGTAGCTGGGATTACAGGCATGCCCCGATGCCCGGCTAATTTTTTGTATCTTTAGTAGAGATGGAGTTTCTCCATGTTGGTCAGGCTGGTCTCGAACTCCCAACCTCAGGTGATCCACCTGCCTCGGCCTCCCAAACTGCTGGGATTACAGGCATGAGCCACGGCGCCCGGCCCCAGAAATAAAAATATTTTAAAATAAATGTTGCATAGCCAAAGTGTACAGTGTTTATAATGCCTACAGTCATGTACCGTAAATGTCCTAGGTCTTCACATTCACCCACCATTCACTCACTGACTCACCTGGAGCAACTTCCAGTCCTGCAAGCTCCATTTGTGGTTAGTGTCCTATGCAAGTCTATCATTTTTTATCTTTTATTTCCTATTTTTGCTGCACCTTTTCTATGTTTAGATACACAACTACCATTGTGTTATAATTACTTACAGTATTCAGTGCATTAGCATGAATACTGTTAAGTACACGGTTTGTAGCCTAGAAGCAATAGACTATACCAGACAGCCTAGGTGTGCAGTAAGCTATACCCTCTCTGTGTAAGTACACTCCGTGATGCCTGCCCAATGACAAAATTGCCTAACAATGCATTTTTCAGAATGTATTTTCATCAAGTGATATATGACTGTATTTGGGGTAAAGGAAAGAGCCAGAAAGCTTGAGAATAAGTGGGAGAAAAAGATAAGTGATTTTGGAAGCAAGTGCTAATTTTTTCTTACTTTTCCAGATGGGGTTAAACAAACCTAAGATTAATATGCTTAGATCAAAATGTTTTATTCATATGAAGAATATATGAAAATTTACTCTTAATTGTTGCTCATCTAAATAATCTAAGACAAAAGTAAGTAAAATCAAGAAAATAATATATTCCGTATGAATATCAGCCTAACTCCTGGTCACATAAGTGTGTGTGCACATATGTGTGTGTGCATGTGTGTGTGTGTGTACACACAATATGTGCTACATATAAATAATTTAGTTTTTATATTCAAGATATTTTACAAGTCTATTATAGAAAGATTTCAATGGCAGCTTTTATATATTTGGAGAGTAATAATGTCCCCCTTTTTACCCCGAATTCTTCAGTGGCTACCAACTGAAAGTATTTAAACTTCAAAATCCGTCCTACCGAGTTTTTCTTGTTCTGCTCTCTAGCTATTTATCCAGCCTCATCTTCTTCTCGTGGACCTCATCTCAAACACCAGTATTTGGCAATGCTGATCCATTTCTAGGTAATTAAACATACTGAAATCCACCCATCTACCCACACACACACTTTTAATATTTTTTTCTCTGCCTAAAATTACTTTTTCTTTCTTGCACAATTGGAAAATCTCTTCCAATTTTTCAATACTTAAAATACTACTTCTACTTGAAATCTTTCCTTGATACCATCAAAATGATTGAGGTTATTCTATGTTTATAGTGCACAACAGGTCCATTTCAATCAATTACCTGGTATACAGTGGTTATAATATTTGTAAGTCTTTCTATTAAAGCTCAATTGTGAAGCATGAACACCACCTTCCTACCTTCACATCTCTAGTGCCTAATTCTGTCCCTGGTATAAGTGCTTCCTGACTTATTAATTATCTAAACAAATGAAGAATGTATGTATGTATGTATGTAAGTATGTATATATGGTGGATGGAGGGATGGGTGGATGGGAGATGGGTGAATGGATAGATTGATGGATGGGTGCATAAATAAATCAAGAAAGGAAGTGGATGGATGAGTGGGTAGATGGAGGGTTTGTATTTATAAAGCAAATTAATCTTTCTAGTAAGAGAGTTTTTTATGTAAGATAATTGTATTTGTTATCAAGAATACATGAACCTTTAGTATAGTTATAAAATTTATGTGATTGTTCACATTGCAAAAATCATAGATTTCATAATTATGAGAAAGAGAAGAAGAAACAAGGATGGGAGTATTTTCTCTGTCATAACAATCCCTTGTAATTAAACTTAATGCTAGACAATTCCATCATCCTGGAAGAGAAGCTATTGGAAACAAATTTTAATTTTAAATTATTTTAAATTATTTTTTTCTATAACTGAACTGACAGCATGTCTCCTCACCAAAAGTCTTTTTAAAGCAGTATCCTAAAAACTGTTAAATAACATATGGTTCTTTTCTTGGAATTGGTAATAGATCTTAAAAATGCAATTGATAAGTGAAAATTATGGTAGAGATGTTCATTTCAATAATGAAAATATACACTGCTAATAGTTTCTTTTTTTCTCATGCACTTTTTTCTCTCTCAAAAAATATTGTTTTATTGCCTCTTTTTAAAAAGTGCTCATTTTTCCTATGATTCTTAATGAATTTGCTTTGAAAAATCTTTTTAAAAAAGAATTCTAGCTGTTTGCAATAATTACACACAGAAAACTGATGTGAAGGTCACTCTCTAACATCTGGAAATGGAAACAGGGATTCCTGTTAATTAGGATAAAAGAGATGAAGCAAAATCTACTTTGTATGCAGGTATTTGACGGTAGTGAAGGAGCAGGGGAAGATTAGAATGCAGAAACAGGGCAGGGTATGAGGGCATAGGCAAAAAGGGAAGAAGAGATTCTAAATCTGAATGCCTTACCAAAAATAAAAACAAGACAATCTCCAACACCACTGCTGTGGATAAAGCAGAAAATGCTTGCTAAATATGCTATCCTCCAAAATGACTCCTTTAAAATAGATGAGCTACATCTGCAGTGATAACAATGAATATCCAGGAGGATTTGGGTCTGCTGCAGACTGTCATGCTGATGTGTAGAGCATCAGTCAACCCTTTTGCAGCAGATTTGAAGTAACACCCCACCCGTTTTTCTTCTTCGATCCATGACTTTGTCCAAGGCAGGAGGCAAGCCCACATTCCCAGTCACTAACAGAGGTGTTTGTCACTCCTGGGGTGCACTCTGCCTCTAGCCCAGCAGCTGTTGTTTAGTGATAGATCAGTGAAGCAATACATTATGCAGCGATGAAAAATAGATCTTGAGCCATCACTTGCGTTCTTACCCCTTTGTTCTACATTAGTGGCAAACCTCTGGGATTCATTTAACAGTGACCATTTGTTACTGAGGGGCAACTGTCTTTCAGACAATGGTGATGGAGTCACCTTTGAAATGAGTACAAATAAGGAGAAATCATTTTCCAATATACCCTCTTAGGACTGCTTTTGATAAAACGGTGCTTGCTCAGAGAGGCTGCCCAGAATGTAGATTATATTCATCAATAACAAATGAGTTTTGACTTCTTTTTTATTTTATTTTTTCTCCACAGGAAGTTAATTGGTTTATCTTCTGGAATTTCTAATAGGATTCAATTCAGGAGATAAAGGGGTTTGAAATAAAAAACAAATGCTTAAAGTTTCAAGGGGTTCTCTGTGTAATTATATCCCAATATATTTTGTCACATCTTATTTATGTTGTGTTAGTTATATTAGGAAAATATACTCGTTAAATCTTATGCACTCTCCTGAAAATACAAATTTGGACTGCAGTTTTCTAATTCCCTAAGGTAAATTGTTTGCACATTTAATAGGATTATTTTTTCCATGCTCATGCAACTCCCTCTGAAGTCAATGACTTTGGTACAGTCTTTCAGATCTCAATATAAGTAATTTCCATCTCAACCTTGGAATGACGATCAATACTTTGTGATTTCTTCCACATAATTTAATCCATTAAATTTATTGGCAATGCCAATGCCAAACATCAAATCTTTAATGAAAATGAAGATTAATATTTGGCCAAGTACCCTCAAATCAACAAACGTCTGAAGCATTTGTGTTGCTCACATTGAACATTGATTTCTTTCTCCTGGAAAGCAATCTCTCACAGTGGAGAATATTTGCCTGATCATACTCCTTTCCACAAGAATAAGAGCAAAGTGTTTTGCAACAGGCATCAGGGAACAGGGTCTCTTTTAATCTCAGCTATGTCTTTGCCTAACAAAGCAAGCCCATGTAAAAAAGATACTTTACATTTCATATACATGGTCTATTTTTCTCTCATATCATCTTATTGAGTTATAGCAGGCATTTTGTTTTAATTTACTTTATTGTGGTGCTATTTATATATATATCAAATTTCACCAATTTAAAGTATAGAATTAGAAGAGTTTTGATAAATGTATATAGTGGTATAACCACCACAAAAACCAAGATACAGAGATTATTTCCATCATTTCAAAATGTTCCATACTATCTCTTTGTAGTCAGTTCCTCTCACCATCCCCTGGGCTGACAAATACCACTACTCTTTATATCATTATAGTTTCACCCTTTTTAGAATTTCATAGAAATGGATTCATATGGTATTTAGCATTTGTGCCTGGCTTCTTCCTCTTAGTATGATACCCTTGAGATTTATCCATATAGTTGCACACATCACTAGTTCCTTGTTTTTTATCACTCAGTAGAATTCCTTTGTATAGATATACCACAATATTTTTATGCATTTACCAGTTGATACAAATTTACATTTTATCCAGGCTTTAGCTATTATAAAGAAAGCTGCTATGAATATTTGAATACAAACCTTCATAGATTTTTACTTCTCTTGGGTAACTACTTGGTGTGAAATTGCTGATTATAGTTAGATGAATATTTAGCTTTATAATAAAAAAAATTGTATTCCAAATTTTTTGCAGTTTTTCATTACCATCAGCAATGTATAGAGCAGATGTTCACTTACTCTACAATTTTGTCAAAACTCCATTAGTCTTTAATTTTAGGTATCTATTGGATATATATTACTATCTTATTTTAGTCTTTGTTTGCATTTCACAAAAAACAAATATACTTTTCTGTTTTTAATTGGTTTGTTTGCTATTTGATATATCCTTTGGTAAAATGTCTAAGTCTTTGCCATTAAAAAAAAAAATCAGATGTTTTGCTATTATTAAGTTGTAAGAATTCTTACAAATTCTGGATACACATTCTTTATCAGATTTCTTCCTGTCTATAGTTTGCATTTACATTTTCCTAACAATATTTTCTGAATAACTAAATTTTTAATGAAGTTTAATATATTATTTTGTATTCTTCATGCTTTTTCTCATTTTAAAGTATTTTCCCTAATTCAATGTCACTTGTATTTTCTCCTATATTTTCTTTTTTGAAGTTTTATAGTTTTCAAAATAACAATTAGGTTTATGATCGATTTTGAGATAATTTTTATGTGAAAGAAATAAGGGTTGAGCTTCACTTCTTCTGCATACAAAGATCCAAATGTTACAGCACCATTGTTGAAATAATTATTCTTTCCCATTAAATTGCCTCTGTGTCTTTGTTGAAAGTCAATTAACTATAAATGTGTGGGTCTGTTTTTGAACTCTCTATCCTGTTACATCATCTGCATGTCTCTATTAATGCAAATAGCACACTGCCTATACTAACTTTATGTATGCCATCATATTAGATAGTGAAAACCCTGAAGTATGAGAATCAACTGGTTAATCAGCTTTAACTTATAAACTCTCTTTTGGGCTTAAGCTGGGGCAACTTCAGGGTGTGTCTTTTTGACAAGAATATTGTCTTTATCTCAACATCCTGCTGGGATATTGAGTGTGATTCAGTTGAATCTATAGCTTAATTTGGGAATAATAGGCATCTTAAGATATTGAAACTTCTTATCGTGAATCTTCCGATTTATTCATGTGTATTTTAATTTTTACCCTAACATTTTGTAGTGTTCAGTGTACAAGTCTCGCACATTTTTTGGTAAATTTGCCTTTAATATTTCATAAATCTCAAGTCATTATAAATAGTATTGTTTTAATTTAAATTTCTATTTGTTCATTGCTAGTATATTGAAATACAATTGATTTTTTTCAAAACTTTCTATGTAGGCTTACTAAATTATAAATTCTAGTACAATTTTTAGATTATTTAGGATTTTTGACATAAACATATTATTTGTAAATAAAAATAGTTTTTATGCTGGATTTTCAATCGTTATACTTTTTAATTTTGTGCTTTCTAAGAAATCCAATGCAATGTTACATAGAATTTATATAAAGGGACACCCACCATGTTTGTGATCATAGAAGAAAACAATGAAGCCTTCCACCATTAAGATGACATTAGCTTTTGATTTTTTATGGATACCTTTAGTACCTTTTGAAGAATGCTCCCATTTTTATGTTGAACTTTGTCTAATCTTTCTTAAATTTATTAAGATAATCATATTTTAGCATATGAATGTGGTGAATTACATTAATTTTGAATATTAACCAACTTTTCTTTCTAGGGTAGAATTCACTTGGTCATGATTTATCTTTATATATTGTTAGATTTGGTTTGCTTATATCTTATTAAAGAATTTTTGTTTTATATTCACCTGAGACATTAATCTGAAGTTTTTTTGAACTGACTTTGCCTAATTTAGACTTCAGAGTGATGCTGGTGTCATAAAAGGAGTGGAGAACTGTTTTTTCCTCTTCCATATTCTGGAAGAGTTTGTGTAGAATTGGTATTATTCATTGCTTATATGTACAGTAGAATTTATCAATAAAACCATGTGAACCATGTATTTTATTTGTGAAAAAGGTATAAGTAGAAATTTAATTTATTATTTGCCTTATTTGAACGCAGTTTGAACACTCAGCAGTCTATGAGTGGTTGGAGTATGGCCGCTGGGATTGGCCAACATTCAGCTGTTATTACAGATGCATATTACTAAGTTAGGTTTTCAATTTTGTCTGCCTATTAAGCTAGGTTACAGTTCATCCACAAGGACTCAAATACAGAAATACGGAGTCCTTCTCAGACCATATTTAGTTTGCTTTAACAATTTCCCCCTTTTGGTCAGCCCCTCAATTTAGAGAGATTGGCCAAAACTTTAGGCATTGACACTGCTCTCTGTCACCATCATAAGGACTTATTTGGTCTCAGTGTGGAATTCACAAGTCATCTTTAGTTTCATTATGGAGTCTCACAAGTCTTCTTTGGTGTTTATATGGAATTCACAAGTCGCAGCTTTGTACCAGCTAAATGATTCTTTATGTTCTTGCTGATCCAGTTGGAGTGACTCCATTCGACTCTCAATGTATAGCTGCATACAAAACACTTAAGACTTGAGAGGATACAGCGTGCCAAGGGGACTATTATTATGACCATCAAGAGGATACCATCAAAATGCCAAGGCATACTCCTTAATAAAAGTTCCTATGAAACAAACCAAACCAAATTAGCCAAGTTAAGGTTCAGACAATGTAAGCAGTTCAATGGTATTAGAGTCTAATCGGTCAGAGTCTTCGTTTGGATTATGATAGTGATTAAGCACCATAGTTCGCTGTAAAGTAGCTTGACGTAAAGAGGCACTCATTTTCATTGTTACCCTGGTAATACAAGTCATAATAACTTGGAAATTTACTAGAAGAAATTTCACTACATTTTTTTTTACGCTTGTTCTCTTTTTTTGTTTCCAAAAGAAAGAAGAAAATTAAGAGACTTTCTCTTCCTTCTTTGGATCAATGCAAACAGAATCTTTTAAATTCTGTTTTGTCTCTGCTAGTGGCTTTTTGGCTATAACTGTTTTGTTTATTTTAATGGTTTCTCTAGGCTTCATAAGATATATCTGAACACAAAACAGTTTTCCCTCAGACATTATTGTGCCACTTGGTAGGCAGTGTAAAAACCTACTTGAGTATAGTTCAGGGTTTACTCACAAGCATGTAAAGATGAATGCTCAGCCAAAACCTCCTCGGCTCCTTTCTCATGGGTTTCATGAGCTTTCATTCTGGTCAGAGCCCTCCTAGTCTATATTCTGCTTTCCCACAGCACTCACCTCTGCATCCTCAACTCAATGAAGCCTCTTAACTTTGACCAGGTTTACCATCACTGTCCTTTGACCTATAAACTCTCCTTTGGACTTAAGCTGGAGCAACTGTAGGGCTTATCTTTTTTGTTTCCCTTCTCTGAGTGATCATTGTCCAATGCTACATGTTATACAGTGTCTACAAATCTTTGTTCCATGTTATATTAACTATGTTTCTAGCTTCTGTAAATCTGATGCTTTAACATTTGCCCCACATGCATATGCTGGGCATGCCTTGTTATCGACACTTGATAGTATACCTGAGTCACCTTGCCTTGACCTCCTGCACCCTTTGTCACTCCTTACCCTCTTGAGAAGATTCTCTTCCTAGGGGACAAACTTCTCAAATATAAACTAACCAATCCATAGACCACTCTCCAACTACCTTCTAGGTTCAGCTTTCACTCTCTGGTATTATCCACCTGCCCTAGTCACCCAGGGCCAGGTACTAGAAAAATAGGGACAGTCCCTGTGCCTGAGAGACCACAGTAATTATTCAAAATGGCTAATTCTAAGCCTGCTTACCTCACATGGCTCATGCCTTCCTGCAGAAACCACAAAAAGGCTCTTTCCTGCAGTTTTCTGCCCCTGAGCGGACCCCACTGCTTCCCCATGTGCCTCCTTTATAATAGTGAAGCACTTAATTTTGTTATTTACCCAGTTGTCATTCAGGAGCAGGTTGTTCAATTTCCATATAGTTGTTCAACTTTGAGTGAGTTTCTTAATCCTGAGTTCTAATTTGATTGCACTGTGGTCTGAGAGACTGTTATGATTTCCAGTCTTTTGCATTTGCTGAGGAGTGTTTTACTTCCAATTATGTGGTCAATTTTAGAATAAGTGCTATGTGGTACTGAGAAGAATGTATATTCTGTTGATTTGGGGTGGAAAGTTCTGTATATGTCTATTAGGTCTGCTTGGTCCAGAACTGAGTTCAAGTCCTGAATGTCCTTGTTATTTTCCTGTCTCGTTGATCTAATATTGACAGTGGGGTATTAAAGTCTCCCACTATTATTGTGTGGGAGTGTAAGTCTCTTTGTAGGTCTCTAAGAGCTTGTTTTATGAATCTGGGTGCTCTTGTATTGGGTGCGTATATATTTAGGATAGTTAGCTCTTCTCGTTGCATTGATCCCTTTACCATTATGTAATGCCCCTCTTTGTCTTTTTTAATCTTTGTTGGTTTAAAGTCTGTTTTATCAGAGACTAGGATTGTAACCCCTGCTTTTTGAAGCTGGAAGCCATCATTCTCAGCAAACACAGGAAGAGAAAACCAAACACTGCATGTTCTCACTTATAAGTGGGAGTTGAACAATGAGAACACAGAGACACAGGGAAGGGAATATCACACACAGGAGCCTGTCGGGGACTGGGGGGCAAGGTGAGGGAGAGCATTAGGACCAATACCTAATGCATGTGGGGCTTAAAACCTAGAAGATGGGTTGATCGGTGCAGCAAACCACCATGGCACATCTATACCTATGTAACAAACCTGCATATTCTGCACATGTATCCCAGAATTTAAAGTAAAATTTAAAAAAAAATTGTGAGGCACACCCCCTACTCTTGGAAAATGTAATAAATTATCTTTTCAATGAGAATTGTCTACTAATGTGTTGGCTTTACTATACTTCAAGTTTTCTATTAATACATTATATTGTAAAATATGTATATTTGGAGTTTTCTAGTTTCTAAGGTGAGAATGTAAAGCCAGTTCTCCCTCATGGCTGAAAGGAGGAAAAGGTACTACATTACCACCATTTTAAAGTTAAAGAAAGGAATGCTCAAGAATTTGTCAGCTATCAAAGTCACACACCTCTAGCCAATCACCAGTTAACTCAGTGTGTTTTCTCAGTGTTCTTATTAAAAGGAAATTTATCTAACACAGGTTAGGTCATATTACTGTATTAATTTTCTGAGGCTGCTCTAACAAAGTACCACAACCTTGCCATGTAAAATAACACACATTGTTCTCTTGCAGTTCTGGATGCCAGAAGTATGAAATTAACATCACTGGACCAACATCAAGGTGTGGCAGGGCCCAGGCTGCATACTCCACATGGAGGCTGTAGGGGAAAATCTATTTCTTGCCTCTTTCGGGTTCTGGTGGCTGCTAATATTTCTTTGGTTGTGGTTGCTTCACCCTCATCTTCAAGGTTAGCACTTTCAATTCTCTGTCTACTCTGTCTCCTCTGTACATCTATCAAATATCCTTTTGCCTCATTTTTAAAACAATATTTGTGATTAAAGTTAAGGCTCACCCTGTAATCCAGGATAATCTCTTTACTTAAAGTTCTTTAACTTAATTACACTTACAAAGACTCTATTTAAAAGATAACATTCACAGGTTCCAGGCACTAGGACATGGATATCTTTTGGGGAAGCCATTTTCAACCTAACACAATTGCCTTGTTTTTACGTTTTGTTATTCTTTGTTTCTGTCAACACTTCACCTTGCCCAATGTTACCATTAACTGCAGAATAAAACTTATAGTCCCTCTGAAAAGGCATAATACTCAGTAGGTAAATCTCTAGAGATTTGAGAAAGACATGGTAATGACTGAAACTATTAATAGTTTCCCAATAGACTAGATTGAAATGCAATTCAAATCCCTTTAGCATTAATTTATCTGTTTTCTATGGTTCAAATTTGCTGCTTCCTACCTTCAGCACTCTAAGTTGTGAGGGAAAGGGCCAAGGGGAAACTGTAAGTTCAGATTAAAAACAATGACAATAACAAAACTTATATTTCTCTCTCAAATGTGGAAAGCACTACATGAAGGTCAGACGTTCTTAAAACTATCTACTGATGCCATAAGTTTTCAATAAGATGGGAGCCTGGTAATAGTAAGTACTTAAAAAAGTAAAATGATAAAGAAATAAAGAATGCAATGATGAATGAATGAAGGAGTGTATAAATGACCAAAGTGAGACATTGCTGCCTTTAAAGTAAAAAGACCATCTGCCATTCACAGGCATATTTGGTTTCTTATATAACAAATATTTTCCTAAAAAATGATTCTAGAATGTGATTACAACATTTTCATGGTAAACTCATATTTTACCCACAACATTTTCAAAGTGTCTGCAAATAGATTTATGATTTACTTTTAAAAAGAAATATTCTTGAAGGGAATACACAAATGCTTCCCAACTAATATTCAGTTTTCATTCAATAAGGTTACAGCCATATAACAGAAATGTATATCATTTAGAATAAATCTAACCATTTGCACCAAAGTTCTAACATTGTCATATAACTGTGCATTTTGATATTTACAGATTCCAGGAACCAGATAAAAATTAACTGAAATATGATACAACTAGTCAATCTATGCTGATAATCATTATGTGATAGAAATATGTTCCTTGACTTCTTGTTGTCTGGAGATAGGTTTGGGTGGTGGGCTCTAGGATCTGGTCTCTGGCTGTCCTGAGCAGCGATTTATTGGACACATGATCTTGAACCAGTTGCTTAACCTTTTTATCAGTCTACGCAGTGATGAAAATCCAAGTCTTACATAGCTCAGAGAGTTGTCTCTAAAACAAGTGGAGACCAATAGATTATCTGACTTTAATGAACTAAGTCTTGATTATTTCTGTATCCTGTATCCTGGGAATATTGCACAGTACTTGAAAAGATTATAGGTATGCAACATGTTGCAAATAGAGGTATTCTTAAGGTATACTAATATAAGGTATAATTTTCACTGACTCCAAGGAAGATGAGAAGAAAAAAAAGAAACACTGATTGATCTAATGGATTCCCTAGTGTGAAAGTCCATTTAGTGATAACCAGATAGATGAAGCCTGAGTCTTTGATGAGGAAGCAAGAGTGAAGACATGAGGGGATAAGATGCAGATAATAAATCAAAAAGTCAAAAGCCCATACTGTAAATGGCATATGGAAGAAAAAGCCAGAAATCAGATGAAAGCTAGCTGAAACAGAAACAGGAAAATACAATTAAGGAGTGATACAGAATTTAGATATTGGTTATAGCTAATCTGCAAGGGCTGACAGGTCTGGTATTTCTGTAATTCTGTTGGGCTGGACTGAAATAATATAACATCAACCTGGCTAATGTTATAGATGAACAACAAACATGAAAATCCGTTTTGCTAGATTGTTATCTGAAGGACTAGAGTGATTAGAGTTTTGGAAAGAAAGGAAGTATGGCATTCCTTTCAAAGTTCAAGTAGCCACAGGATAAAATGTTTGACAGGGTGATATTATAATAGAAAGTAATACTTTTGTTAAGAGAAGTTTCCCTTTTTTCCCATCTATTCAATCTCCTTTACGACTTGAAATAGATAACCCCTTGTAGAGATGTTTTGAGTGGCAGGTTTTGTGGTGCTATTGTAGACCTGGAAAAAATACACACAAAAAAAACTATAGCCAATTCAGGTAATATTTGGTTAGCACATAATGGCTGAGTAGGTGAGCAAAGAGTGGGAGATCAATAAAATACCCTGTCATTGCAAAAACTAGGATAAAGAGTAAATTTATTTCCTTCACCACATGGATTTTAAGTTCAATTCTCTGTAAGATGTGTTTAAAAAATCATGGTGCAACAGCTTGCATGGTATGTGCATTCTGAAACGGGCAAACTTACCAAGAAAATGAACAGTTTCCAAATTTAACAATCACTGATTGTGAATAGGCTATATTTCTAAAGATGAAAATGTCAAAAAAAATTTAGTGCTCAATTACTGAAATAACACACCTTTTTTCATAATTAAAAAAAAAGACTACTTTTTTCCCAGAAAACATCAAAAACCCATGGAAATACATATATAGCAAAGACTTCAAACCAACCCAAATGCCCATCAATGATAGACTGGATAAAGAGAATGTGGCACATATACACCATGGAATACTATGACACCACAAAAAAGGATGAGTTCATGTCCTTTGCAGGGACATGGGTTAAGCTGGAAACCATCATTCTCAGCAAACTAACACAGGAACAGAAAACCAAACACTGCATGTTCTCACTCATAAGTGGGAGTTGAACAATGAGAACACATGGACACAGGGAGGGGAATATCACACACCAGGGACCATACGGGGGTGGAGGGCTAGAGGAGGGATAGCATTAGGAGAAATACCTAATGTAGATGATGGGTTGTTGGGTGCAGCAAACCACCATGGCGCGTGTATACCTGTGTAACAAACCTGCATGTTCTGCACATGTATCCCAGAACTTGAAGTATAATTAAACAAACAAACAAAAGAAATACATATACAAATATGTATCTGTGGACATATGTGGATTTTTGTATGAAGGTATGGATAAGCAGATTTTATTAAGTATCCTGTGATTAGATGACCCCACCTATGCTGAAGCTAATTTATTTATTCTTAGAGATTATTAAGTGAAAAAAGCATTATCACTATGCCAATTAATATTATAGGAAGAGGAGTTGAACTTTTTAACAACTAAAGTTTAGTTTTAACAACTCAAGTTTTCACCTAAAACTAATATTGAGGTTATTTATATTTTCATTAACTGAGTTGAAAATCATGAACATTTTGAAAGTCACTTGAGAGACAGAAAAGGTGACCAAGATATAATCATGAATTTCTCCAGGCTTATCAATTATGGTGGAGTGCTCAGGTATACATGGAAAGCTGTTTGTGTGAAACAGAACATATGCTATAAAATTTCACAGTTCACAAACAGTAATGGCAACTTTGTAGAATGAGCAGGAAAAAAAAGTGCTTTCTAATACAGAGGTCAGATAGAATTGAGTCTTCAGAAACTGGAAAGATGTTTTCTGACACTACTCAATGGGAATTATATATCACTTGACATAATATTTAACCTGAAAGTAACCACAGGGAAAGAAATCAGACAAATCTGGATTGTGAGGCATTCTACAAGAAAACTGGCCTAAACTATTTCAAATTGTCAATGCCACAAGGAAAAAGAAAAAAGATGGAAGAGAGGTATTTTGACTTAAAATACAACCAAATAGAATGTGTGATTTTTAATTGAATTCTGGATTGGAGAGAAAAACATTTTTGGACAATTAAACAAATCTGAATATAAATAGGATATTAAATAATAAAACTGAATCAGTGTTAGATTTGTTCGTTATAGTATTAGATTTGATTCTTCTAAAATGAGAGCTGGAGACAACAGCTTGTATGTGCGTAATTTATTTTGAAGGTGATTCCAGAAAGAAGAATTGCAGTGCGGAGAGTGAGACAGGGAAGCAGATTCCTTCTATAAATGGTACAGCTTTAGCAGAACTGTTTAAGCTAGATATCTGGGTATCTATTCCTCTAGGAATTCTCTGAAAACCTGCATAGAATACACACCAGAAACATTAACTGAAAGACAAAGGACTGGGATATTTATCCACTGAAAGTAGCTTCCTGTGGGTGTTATTTTACCTATATTTCCAAGTACATTTGCTAAGGTAAGTTCTGATGGAGAAGAAATGTTCATATATATGGCAAGGTACATAAAATATAGTAATCTTTCAGTGTAAATAAGAACTATCTACCATTGCAGCAGCTGAAATCAAAACTACGTAGACAAGTAGGTAGACAAGTGTCTACCTTGTTTGGGGGTAATTCCCTGTTTTACGACATAAATACTGAAGTATTTAAGGATGAAGTATCAAGATGTTGATCATTCAATATCAAGTGGATCTAGTGTATGTTTGTACATGTAAGTGGGTGTTTATGTGTGTTGATGGGGTCAGAGAATTAAAGCTTCTCTAGTAAAGTCCTTTGAACCATTTTTTTTTTTTTTTTGAGATGGGGTTTCACTGTTATTGCCCAGGTAGGCTGGAGTGCAATGGCGCAATCTCAGCTCACTGCAACCTCTGCCTCCCGGGCTTCAGGCAATTCTCCTGCCTCAGCCTCACAAATAGCTGGGATTACAGGTGTGCACCACCACGCCCAGCTAATTTGTATTCTTAGTAGAGACAGGGTTTCATCATGTAGGTAAGGTTGGAGAATAAGTTTAAAATTTTTCAAAATCAAATATTAGAAAAAATTAAAAAGGATTTTAATGGATGGATTTAGAATAAGAAAGGTCATTGTTGGTTCAAGAAAGCCTAACGAAGAGAGTTAAAAGCTATTAATTTACAAAGTAGTAAAACATAATGTTAGATGGGTGGAATGTTTGGAATTAATAGCATTACAACAGAATTTCAATTTTATTCTATAATTGATTATAACTACTGGGTGTTTTTAAGAACAGAGAAAATGAGTTTATATGATACAAGATACTCTTGCTCTTTCTGTCTATCTGTGGTCATAAATGCCAGAAGTTCATTTCTATTATGGAAATGAAGTAGAAGCTACTGAAATATCCATAAAGTAAAAAAATAGAGTCCTGAACTTGGGTAACAATACAAATTAAAGACAAACAAACAAAAAACATAAGACAAATGTTAGTAAGAAAAGATAAAGCATGGAAAGTTGATGGCTTCCATCTAATTAGATTTCCAAGCTGCAAAAGAAAAGGAAGCAATGGTAACTAAAGTTACCAATGTTTTAATCTTTTTGTCCTCTGGTAACCTTGCATAATTGGTGATCAGAAATTGATAAATAAATGAATAAAATGTATGTTTGATAAGAAAGAGCTTTGCAGCTTCAACAAAAATATGAGAAAAAGAGGGATTTCTGGGGAAAGAAGAAAGTCAATGAGGTGTTGAATTTTAGGTAGTTTTTGGGGTGATAGCAGTGCGCTTGAATTTATTTTAGATTTGGTGTCTTCATAAAGCCTTTTGAAAGGGGAATGACATTCAAAAATTAGAAGATACTAATTAAACAATATTTTTAATGGACTAAGAGATTTGGTGGTGATGCTCCCAGAAATTTATTGGATCACTGAACTGATGACATGGCAGACACTGGATGTAATACACAAACCTTTATTAGTACCCAGCAGAAAAGTATCTGAATTGAAGAGGTTTCTCCACAAGTGGGGTCCAAGGCAAAAAAGGAAACAAGCTGATATAGTTTGGCTATCTATTCCTTCCAAATCTCACGTAGAAATTTGATTCCCAGTGTTGGAAGTGGGGCCTGGTGGAAGGTGTTTGGGTCATAGGGGCAGATCTCTGATGAACATCTTGGTGCTGTCCTCGTGGTAATAAGGAGTGACTTCTTGCTCTATTAGTTCCCATGAGATCTGATTCGTTAAAAAGAGCCTGGCACTTCCCCCCCCCACTTTTCTTCCTCTCTCTTGCTTCCTTTCTCTGACCTTGTGATGTCAACTCCGCTTCAACCATGATTGGAAGCTCCCTGAGACCCTCACCAGAAGCAGATGCCAGTGCCATGCTTCTTGCACAGCCTACAGAACCCTGAGCTAAATAAATCTCTTTTCCTTATAAACCACCCAGCTTCAGGTAATCCTTTCTAGCAACGCAAAACAGACTAATACATAAGCCAACCACAGAAACAAAATTACACCTAGGGCTAGGAAGAAAGGCAGGCAAGTTGAATTGGATTGCAGGTGGATTGGTTTATGTGAATTGCAATTGCACACATAGGTTTTTGGCAGTTACTACCTGTCATATGCACACGTTTTACACATACCATTGGGACCTCTTGAGGAACACACTGGGGGGCTACAGAGCAGAGATGATCAGGGAGAATTTGAGGGAAAGGAAAGTGTGAGGGAATTAGGGGAAAGTTGAAGACACTCATGTTACCATTAATCTAAGCAAAATGGAGTTTATTTACACCTAACATGAACATAACAATTACATGGTTTCCTCTTATTATAAATAGGAAAGAGCTTTTCCTAATAATGGCCACAAAATGTTAGCAGAACAAAGGTAGTTAAAACAAGGGAGTTTAACATAAAAACCCAAGGAACCAACAGAAAAAAAAGTGGGTGTCTAGCACTGAGGAAGACGCCAAATAGGGGACATTTTCTTCACTATATCCCTTACTATGTATGGTGAGCAGATTTCAGAAGAGTTTATGCAATCAAGCTCATTTGCCACTTTAAAAGGCTGGATATGGTAGCCTGCCAGCTTCCTGTATGGAACTGTGGTTAAGCAGTTGAGTTGTCAGGTCACTACATTTGTGTTTGATTCCTGAATCATGTATTTAGCAGTGTTTTAGTATCGGCTACGTCATTTAACTTCTGTAAACCTGAGTTTACTAATCTATAAAGTGGGAACAACAATAGAACCAAAATAGAGAACCACACTATTTTCCTTATTCCAAAAAAAAAAACAAACCAATGAATCAGGCATGGTTATTAAAAACATTTTACATACAAGAAACTCAAATACCAATTGGTAAATCATTTTTTCAATGTGATAAATTTGTAGTTAGCAGAGCCAGAGTGTAACACGTCTGCTTTATTTCAAATTTCACTTCTTAAATTAACACCTAGCATCCTTTATTAAATAAAAACTGTTAATCAGAGGATAGTTGCTTAGGAAGGGAGCAAATAATAAATAATCAAGGATATCAAGGTACACAGTACATATTCAAAGACAGGGTCTTGGACAATGCAATGCAAATATTTTAGTTCTATTTCAAGGCAATTTTTTTGCAGAAGCAGCTGAATTGGGTTTTCTTACCCAGTTGTCATGAAACATGAGAACAGGAACATATAACATATCTTCTTCCTGCCCCTAATTTCTAATCCACTGAACCCCCTTCTGGTCATAATTTTGTTTCTTAAAATAAGTTTGCCATTATTAGGAAAAGTATTTAATTTTCTAGGCAATTATATGTCACAGTATATATAAAAGCACAGATATTCAGTTCCACATATTCATCTCTTCTGAGCATCTTTTTTTTTTTGAGTTTGAAATACTAAATCCATCCACACTGATTCACTTGTAGGATAAAGTTTCTGAGTCAGTAAGGCTTCAGGTCCACAGGCTCTGGAGAGAAATAAAATCCATAATTTTGCTCCGTTTTGGGAGGCTTCTACTCAGCCACACAGCAACTAAATGTATTTTTCCTCATTTGCTCTTACAGAAGGTATTATCCCACTTTGCAGATGAATACGTTATGGCTAAGATGGTAAAGGAACTTGCTGACTGTCACTCAGTTGTTCAGTTGGAAGGGTCGCACTTTGATCACACCACTTTGGACCTGAAAGTCCATCTTCTACTTATCACTAGAGGACCTCTAAGAAGGTGGAGGTTCTCAAGCTAAGTAACTTTGGAGAGGGCATTCACTGCTTTCTTTTTGAGGCAACACTGATAAAGGCAGATGAAAAGGGATTGGTACATAGCCTAATTATTTTGTTATAATTAGAGAATATTCACATGGAATCTAAATTTCTGCTATTATGTCATCTCTTTGGGCTATTAACTTCCTGACTTGGATGTGAGAAAAAAGGCCATTCCAAGACACTCTACTGATGTGTCTACACTGACGTTAAGTGATCCAATTAAACATGCAGCTATGAGTTGGGCTATGATCTTGGTGAAAGGTCAGATGTTATAGGTTTCATGCTAAATGCACTCATCTTCTCACGTTCCTCCGCGTAGTCTCTTTCCTCTGCATGCATTCATTTCTCTTGAGGTGGTCTTCCTCTGCCATCTTGATCTTCCTCTTGGAACAATGTTTCTTTTAGATTCTTCACATTTTGGGTTCTTTTGACTATAATGATATGTTCTGGGTACAAATATAAATAAGTATTTTAGAAATGTGAACTTATATATCTGCATCAGACACTTTCTAACTCCTCTTTTACAATTAAGAAATCATGAAACATTCATGGAGAGTCCAAGATTTTCATTAATTAAAACTACTTTTAGTGAGATGATTACCTCTTATATTTCTTAAACACTGAATTGTTTTGTGTTTCAATGATGTTCAACCTAAAAATTCTTACAAGACACCTCTGCAACACCTGTTTCCATGTATACCCTAATGCATATGTGAGTAGTCTTAACTGTTACTTGAGTAGTTCCAGTGACAGATCACTCCTAATCATATTAAGCAGTTGCTTTCTTCTTGTACTTTTTTGCAATTTTCAAAGAGTTTAATTTATGATTAAGAGCATCAGGGCAGTAAGTCTAAACTTTCTACCAACTAAAAGCCTTGAGATACTACTCTTTTGTGTTAAAAGAGTTAGAAAGCTTTTACTTTTCTCCATACAATTGTTCTTGAAGTCCACCAACCATTGTGTCTTATTAAATCAAGTTGCTGTTATTTTTTCTCCTTCTTTTCTTTTCTTTCTTCTTGCTTGACTTCCTTTCTTTCCTTTTTCCCTTTCTTTCTTGTTGCGGGAAGTCAGGGACCCTGAACGGAGGGACTGGCTGAAGCCATGGCAGAAGAACGTGGATTGTGAAGATTTCATGGACATTTATTAGTACCCCAAATTAATACTTTTATAATTTCTTATGCCTGTCTTTACTGCAGTCTCTAAACATAAATTGTGAAGATTTCATGGACACTTATCACTTCCCCAATCAATACCCTTGTGATTTCCTATGCCTGTCTTTACTTTAATCTCTTTATCCTGTCATGTCATAAGCTGAGGAGGATGTATGTCGCCTCAGGACACTGTGATGATTGCGTTAACTGCACAAATTGTAGAGCATGTGTGTTTGAACAATATGAAATCTGGGCACCTTGAAAAAAGAACAGGATAACAGCAATGTTCAGGGAACAAGAGAGATAACCTTAAACTCTGACCGCCAGTGACCCGGGTGGAACAGAGCCATATTTCTCTTTTTTCAAAAGCAAATGGGAGAAATATCGCTGAATTCTTTTTCTCAGCAAGGAACATCCCTGAGAAAGAGAATGCGTCCCTGAGGGTGGGCTTCTAAAATGGTCCCCTTGAGTGTGACCGTCTTTTATGGTCGAGCTGTAGAGATGAAATAAGCCCCAGTCTCCCATGGCACTCCCAGGCTTATTAGGATGAGAAAATTCCTGCCTAATAAATTTTTGGTCAGACCGGTTGTCTGCTCACAAACCCTGTCTCCTGATAAGATGTTATCAATGACAATGCATGCCCGAAACTTCATTAGCAATTTTAATTTCGCCCTGTCCTGTGGTCCTGTGATCTCGCCCTGCCTCCATTTGCCTTGTGATATTCTATTACCTTGTGAAGCACTTGATCTCTATAACCCACACCCTATTCATACACTCCCTCCCCTTTGAAAATCACTAATAAAAACTTGCTGGTTTTGCGGCTTGTGGGGCATCACAACTTTGCCAATCTCTTTTCAGATACCATGCAACAGCATCTTTGGGGTACAGATAAAATAGGTAAACAGATACTTTGCATCTTGTAATGATGCCTTTTTACAGAAAGGGTAATTTACAAAATTTCAGGCCATAAAATGCTCTCTTGTGTTCTGTGTTTTGCCTAGCTTACGCTATCTAAACAATGCTCTTTTCTTGAGTCTTCCAGCAGCTATTTCACACTTTAAGTGTGAATATTAGAGTAATTACAGATTTTTCTCTAATTTTACCTTTGTAAAACTTGGAATAAAGTCACCAGTCAAGACATGCTTTGAGAAATCACTAGTATTTCTAAAGCACTGTGGTATCTTGGGGAAAAAAGTATTGTAAGAGGACAGTGAAATTTTTGAGATGCTTTAAACTGAGAGTCAGTTGTTACATTTAATCTTGAGTTAGCATGATTATTAAAAGGACAATTGTTGAGTTGTGAGCTGAAAAAAATGTGTAAAATTATAAATAACATTGAAATCAAGTGTAAAAAAAAACACATGCATGCAATTTGGTCATAGCTTCAGGATTTATGTTTAATCTACTTCTTCTGAAGTTCTCTCACCTAGGACAGCTACAAATTCAGGGGTTTCCACAATCCATATTCAATTTCAATAATTCACTAAGATGACTCACAGAACTTAGAAAAGTGTTAGCAATTATTATTTTATCAGAAGTCTAAAGTCAAGGTGCCAGTAGATCCAGTGTCTGTTGAAGGCACACTTCCTGGTTTGCAGACAATCAATTTCTCGTTGTATCCTCACATGGTGGAAAGAGAGTTTGCTAGCCCTCGGGTCTCTTTTTATAATCCCATTCATGAGAACTCCACTCTTATTTCCCAAAGGCCCCACCTCCAAATGCCATCATATTGGGATCAGGGTTTCAACATATGAATTTCAGGAAAAAAAAATTTACTCCATTGTCTTCTGCTTCTGGCCTCACAAAATTCATATTCTTCTCACATGCAAAATCTATTCTATTCAAAAAGCCCCCAAAGTCTTAGCTTATCCCACCATAAACTCTAAAGTCTAAGTGAAAAATCTCCTTTAAATACCTAAATCAGGTATGACTGAGACTAGAAGTACAATTTATCCTGATGCAGAATTCCTTTCCAGCTGTGAATCTGTATGCTTGGGGGTCGGGGAGGGGGAAATCCTGTCTTTTCTATTCTTTCAGTCAATACGACAATCATTAACACAGAAGAATTCTGTGATGAAATGTAGGGGTTGAAGTGTTCTCCCCACCACCAAGTGAGCAATCAATTCTGCAGCAGACATTGACTGGGTGCTCTTCAATTCAATTCTGCCACTATCTACCTGGAGATAGCGTCAGATCCCAAAAGTTTGGAGCTCAGAACCCAAAATACCCCCACCAAAAACCAGGACATCCAGAAATTCCTTTTTTTTTTTTTTTTTTGTGAGATGGAGTCTTGCTCTGTTGCCCAAGTGGGAGTGCAGTGGCACGATCTCGGCTCACTGCAAGCTCCGCCTCCCAGGTTCACGCCATTCTCCTGCCTCAGCCTCCCGAGTAGCAGGGACTACAGGCGCCTGCCACCATGCTGGCTAATTTTTTGTATTTTTAGTGGAGACAGGGTTTCACCGTGTTAGCCAGGATGGTCTCGATCTCCTGACCTCGTTGTCCGCCCACCTCGGCCTCCCAAAGTGCTGGGATTACAGGCGTGAGCCACCGCGCCCGGCCCAGGGCCTCCAGAAATTCTGACTGACCAACTTCAAGTTGGAGTTCTCACAATCCCCTCTTTAAATTTTATTAATTTGCTGGAGCAGTTCACAGAACTCGGGAAAATACATTTACTAGTCTATTGTAAAGAATATTTCAAAGGATACAGATAAAGAGATGCATAGGGCAAGGCATATGAGAAGGGTGTGGAGATTCCTTCCCCTCCCAGGGCACATGACCCCCAGGACATCACTTTGGAGTCTCTAATAATTTTAGGAGTTGTATGCCAGGAAGGAGTGTTGAAGATGAACTGTATATTTCACAGTATCAACTGTAAAACCAAACAACTATGTACTTCCTCATACAATGGTGGGATAGGCATAGGATAGACATTTCCATTTCAAAAGGGAAAAATAAGGAAGAAAGAGGATGTAATGGGTACCAAGCAAGTTCCAAATCTAGAAGGGCAAACTCCACAAGATGGTAAGGCTTGAGAATAAACCCCTTTGGTTGCATTCTCAGCTCTCCAGGACTACTGGAGAAGGTGCTTCTGATCCCACCTTCCACACTCACTGGAGAAGTGGCCCCATACCCACAGCTCAGCTTGGTAGGGGTCCTGTTTCTCATGTTCTGTCAGGCAGGGCTTAAGCCCCACAGTTTTGGTTAGCACCTCCCTCCTGGCTTTAGGCAGAGGTTACCTAGCCTGCTGAAAGCAAGGCAATTTCACCCTCCCTGCTATTGAAACCCAAAAGTCAGGCCAGATAATTTCTGAATTATCCTCAAGGTTATTCTTCCATTGCTTTGCAGAATAGAACATGTCCTCAGTTGAATAGCTCTATGGTCCTGCTCTATAAATCAAGTAAGTACAAAAACCTCAAAAACCTTCCTTGATTTTTCCCAGTCTCCTTCCCCTTTAGTTCAAACTAGCAGTGTTCCTGCTGGGATAGCGGATAATCTAAGTCCATAGTTCACATCCACACTAAACTCCTTGTCAAACTGTTGCTTGGTCACGGCCTTAGTGTTCTCTTTCAAACATGTTTTCTGACTTTTGCCAATACAGACAGGCTGATAAATGTCTAAATTGTTAAGTTCTGATTTCTTTTGCTTAATAATTCCAAATTCAAATCATTTCTCTCTCCTTGCATTTTACCCTAATCAGCCAGGAGGAACCGAGCTGCTCCGAAAACACTTTGCTTAGAATGTTCTTAAGATAAATATACAATTTTTCTGCTGGCAAGTTCTACCTGCCACAGCACTAGAAGACAAATGCAATTCAGACAAGTTATGTGCCACATTATAACAAGGATCACCTTTCCTTCATTAATAGTATGCTCCTCATTTCTGTCTGAAACCTCATCAGAATGGCCTTCACTGTCCACATTTCTACCAGCATTCTGTGCAGGACTATTTCTGTATTCTCTACAAACACAGAGCTTTTCCTACAGATCTCTCTTCCGTTTCTGAGCCCTTTTCAGAATTGCTTTTAAAATTCCCTTCATGACAATCTCAGCTTCTTCTATCATTTATTTCAAAACTCTTCCAGTCTCTATCCATTCCTAGTCCCAAAGCCACTTCCACATTTTTAGGTATTTGTTGCAGTAGAACCCCATGGCTCAGTAGCAATTTCTGTCTTAGTCAGTTTAGGCTGCTGTAACAAAGTGCTATAGACTGCGTAACTTAAACAGAGTACATCTATTTCTCACAATTCTGAAGACTGTAAAGTCTAAGAACTTCAAGATCAAGGTGCTAGTAGAACTAGTATCTGGTGAGTGCCCACTTCCTGATTTGCCGACAGCCAGCTTCTCATTCTATTCTCACATGGCAGAAAGAAAGCTAGCTATCTCTCTGTCCTCTCCTTAGAAAACTGCTAATCCCATTTATGAGGGTCCCATCCTCATGAACAAATTAGATCCCAAAAACTCCATGTCCAAATACTGCTGCATTAGAATTAGGGTTGCAACATATAAATTTTTGGTGATAATGGTACTATGAAATATCTCCATTCACAAAAGGCATAGGACATCAAATGTATAGGGGTTATTTCCCTATACTAATCAATTTTGCAACAGTAGCTGGTGTCCTACAACTTAATTCAATTCTGAAAATATCTACCTGGAAATTATGAAAATGAAATATTTCTAATTAAATTGAAATATAAAATTTTGATTCTGAAACTACAGAGCCTATAATTTTTCTAACTAATCATACTTCCAACATTGTTAGCCCAGAATTTATTTATACAAGTTTGCATTCTCTGTAAACCAGCTGGAAGGAGGAGAACAAATATAATGCATGTTGGAATGACTTGTCCCATGCTGAGCTGAATGTGATTTGTCTTCAAAAGAAATGCAAAAGGCAACAAATATCAAAAAGAGACAAATGACACCTTTACTTAAATTATGTTTTGATAAACAAAAATCAAGTTAAAACACATGTGATGTTATATCTCAAATCCCATGTTTACTTACTAAAAATTATTTGTAATTATGACATATTGTTGTCTATTATGCTTTCTTATTTAAGTGTTTCCAACATACTGATCAAAGGGGAATCAAAATTCAATCAGGAATTCTCCGTGGGGAAAACAAATTGTATTTTTGTACAGATACGTTATCTGGAGAAAATTCTTAATGTAACATATTATTTCTCTGAAATTTAAGTGCAGACTTTAAAATTCCATATTGGAGTCCCATTAACCTGCCAATTAATATAGTAATTAACTCATTAGCTTAATGGTACTATAATTATCTGTTAGCTCTGATTGTATTATAATTCTTTCAAAGTCAATGCATAATGGTTTTATCTGTGCTCCCTATAAGTAATTTTCTTTCTATGCCCTTTTTACCCTGTAGGTTATGAGTACAACACAGAAAATTCCAATGACTAATTATCTAATCCCTCCCACACCTAGGATAGTCAGTTTTCTACAGCTAGGGTACCTTAATAAGACAACGTAAGAAAATGTGAAAGAAGAATTCTCAAAGTGGTTTTCTATTGGATTATATCTTTTTCCTGACCTGGAGTGGAACTCCACACTTTCTCTTGGGGGTTCTCGGCTTCCCAGATGATGTTGCTATGCAGTTTAAACAGCAGTGTCATGAATAAAATATGATGGGTTAATAGGCTTCTGTCAACTTTCTGGATATATCTTTCACCTGCTTTTTTGATGTACTAAGCATGTTTACTTGACTGGTTTGGTAATCTAATACTGGTTTTTGGACAAGAAAAAAATGCTAAAGATTGATTCACCACATTTTTCGCCTTTTACTTTTAGTTGCCATGTAAGGATTGTACATAGTTATGAAATACAGAATGATATTTTGATACATGCATACAATGCGTAATGATCAAATTGGGATAATTAGCATGTCCATCACCTCAAACATTTATAACTTTGTGTTGTGAACATTCAAAATCCTTTCTTCTAGCTTTTCGAAAATGTACACTCAATTATTGTTAACCATATTCACCCAAAAGTGCTACAAAAACACTAGAAATACTTCTTCCCATATAACTGTAAATTGTGTACCCATTAACCAATCTCTTCCAATCCTCTCCAATCCCCAACCTTTCCCAATCTCCCATAATCACAATTCTACTTTCTACTTATATGAGCTCAATTTTTTTTAGCTCTCACATATGAAAACACGTGATATTTATCTTTCTGTACTTGACTTATTTAACCTAATATCCTCCAGGCTCATCCATGTTGTTGAGAATGACAGAATTTCATTCTTTTACAGATTAATAATATCCATTCTGTATGCACATATATCATTTTCATTCATCTGTTGATATACACTTAGTTTATTCCATATCCTGGCTAATGTGAATAGAGTGGTTCAGCACATCTTAACATAAAGAAAAGCTTCACATAGGTACTTGGGGACAAGGCTAAACTGTCAGCGAAGGGTCCAGCCTGCTGTTTCTTAAGAAGCAGTGCAGACATTCCCAGTAACTATTTATTGAGTGAGTTTAAATGCTTACTGCTAAATATTTATCTTGTTTAACCCTCTGATCTCACAATAACTTTCCAATTTAGGTATGATTATTTATTTCAATATTACAGATGAGACTTAGAAAGGTGATATAGTTTTCCCAAAATCATAGAGCTAGTTAGATAGACATCTGGGAAAGAATTATGGATTTTAGGTTTCTGTCTATATATTGATATCTATGTCCTATCAAGTTCACGTTGAGAATAATCAAGTCTGTCTAATTTCAAAGTCCATATTTTTTTTCAAAGATCATCTTTCTTTCCTGTCTCCTCCAACACATACACACACACACACACACACACACACCCCACAATGCATTACTTAAAAGATCAATAATCATAGAAGGACCATTTTTCTTTGTAGTCAAGATGGAGACAGCAGCATTAGAAGAGTAAATTTATTTTTGACAATTTAGTCATAAATACATAGTTGGTGCAAGGGGCCTTAGACTGGAAAGGAATAGCCAAACTAACTCTTTTATTTTATATTTCACAGACCTAGAGACAAATTTCTACAGTGTTAGGTCCTCAGCAGTAAATCTGCAGATTCTTTAGCTTTGCCCTGATTTGATGTCTTGATTTTAAAAATAAGAGGATATTAGCTAATTAATTCAGTTTGCTGGATACCAGTGAGTGTATCATCTTCATATTTGGCCACTGTAACAGGCTACATTATTAAAGACCTAAAGAGATGCAACTGAAATTGAGATGACTCGGAGCAGACCAGTAGAGACCATATTTATAGGACAAATTTAGAATGCCTTGATTTATCTAAGCTTCCTCCGCTTCCAGATATAACTTGATTATGGATTGTCTTGGTGAAGAGTACTCTGGTAGACCTCACTCTTAGTTCCATACAAGAGGAAACTCAAATGCAAAAAACCTAAATAGCATATTTTTAATCATTCTGAGCAACAAAAGTAAAAACTATCTCTGCTGGACAGAGCTAGTGAGTCCTTCCAGGGAAGAAATGGTGACATTCTTACTACCATCAATTCTCATGACCCCAGGCATTAGCAGTTGTGACAACATTGATGGGTCCCAGCTGCAGGGGTGCCTTCAAATTGCATTGGATATATAACTTCTATGTTTAGCATTAACAGTGATTTTTTTTAAAAAAAAGGTCATTGTGAATAATCAGAACATAAATGAGAAACAGGTTAGCCAAAAGGAATGATCTGTGTACAGCAGGAAAGTATAAAGCTGAGACCCACATTTTTGTGTATTTGACTGTAAAATGCAAGCCATGCTAAGGATTTTAGAAAAGTTACCAAACTGCTTTTTCTCTCAGTATTCTCACCTTTGTGTCATCAAATACATAGGGCACTAGTGAAGATTATGAAATCTCGGCCGCTGGGCTGTGTGCTTTATAAACTAGTGCTCTAAAGATAGTAGCTGTATTACTAATATTACAATAATATGTCGTACAGCCTTGAGATAAACTAGAGAAAGGCTAGAATTCCCTAGAATGGAGGGAGCCACAGAACACTAATCTGTGAATATAATTGAGTTGTCATTATTTATTCCAATTTAGATAAGCTAAGACCCACCTTTAAATAAATTGGCCTGTTTCTGCTAAAATAAGAGTTTAATCCATTGGGTTTTTCCTAGATGGTATGTCTCCAATGTCTTTTTGTTGTTGTTGTTACGCTTAATCAGGTCTGTATTCTGGGTCCTCTAATGTGAGTGAACATTTCTAGTGACTCAAACAAGGTATCTCAGTGTCAGAAACCATTATGGTATAACAGCAGTTAAGTGTAGGTTTTTTAATGAAGTGAAACTGTTTCTCCTGTTCATTAAGTGCCAAGTGAAATGGGTCCTGGCTAACCTCAAGTTAATGAAGTAGTACCCACATTATTATATACATGCTAATAAAATAGGTATGTCAGTGAAAAACAGAAATGCTGTGAAATCCTATAGAATGCCATTGATAAGATAGGTTGAATGGATTCCTTCCTTGGAATCAAGTTTCCTATAAAGCACGAGGGCATAGTGCTCACGTGGCCTAACAGTTTGTAAAGATAAGTTTGCGATAGAAACTTGTATTAGAAAAAGCTGTGGGAAGCTTAGCTTCTGCAAACCACAGGTGGATAGAAATTTGAGATCATCTGTTACAGGGTCATTTGAAAGAAAAAAAAAAAGAGAAATCAAGAAGCAGTTAAGTCAACACCAAAGCAAATTTCTGCAGTTGCCCTTGGATAAAAACACACTGTTGTGCTAACTCTTCCAAAAATGGTTACATTCAGTATTTATCAGTGACCTCTGGGTATGTCGATGAGCTAATAGCAATTTCCTTCAGAAAACACTTCACACTTGCAAGTCTAAGTGATGTCAGAGAAGCAACACAGATATATCATAAAAAGCTATCATCCTATCAGTTGAAATTACCTCTTCAGAAGAGAAAAAGTACTCAAAGGCAATGTTTCATCTCTGAACTCTCTCTTTCCTTAATAAGAAATAGAAGATCAAACATACAATATCTGCTTTTTAGGGGTTTGATTCTTTATGTGTTCCTGTGTGTGTGTAAATAGAAGTTGTAGTATTTATCAAGTCTAAATTTAAGGCAAAAATTAAACACTTCCCTCTTCTCCATAGCCTTTTTTACAACCTCCTTTTCCTAATAAGAACAGTCAAACACCTTTCCTTATATGCTGGACCATCTCTATCTGCTGCCTGGAATTTAAAATTATTTTCCCAGCTTCTAGGAGTGCTAAGTGAAGATGTCTGTCAGTTTTCAGCACTCACTGGAGGGTCGACTTAGTTTAAAGAAAAAAATTTTGCCCACATTTATGCCTCCTTTCAGAGGCAGCCTGCATCAAAAGACTGTAATAGTCCATTTTCATACTGCTATAAAGAGCTGCCGGAGAGTGAGTAATATATAAAGGAAAGAGGTTTAATTGACTCACAGTTCAGCATGGCTGGGGAGGCCTCAGGAAACTTATAATCGTGGTGGAAGGTGAAGGTGAAGCAAGACACCCTCTTTACAAGGCGGCAGGAAGGAAAAGTGCAGAGCGAAGGGGGTTGAGCCCGCATATAAAACTATCAGATCTCGTGAGAACTCGCTCACTATCACGAGAACAGCATGGGGGAAACTGCCCCCATAATCCAATTACTCTCCACCCGGTCTCTCCCTTCACACATGGGGATTATGGAGATTATGAGGATTACAATTCAAGATGAGATTTTGGGTGGGGACACCATATTAACAACCAATCAAAATGTGGGTATAAAAAGCACCTCCTGGCTGGGCGTGGTGGCTCACGCCTGCAATCCCAGCACTTTGGGAGGCCGAGGTGGGTGGATCACAAGGTCAAGAGATCGAGACCATCCTGACCAACATGGTGAAACCCCGTCTCTACTAAAAATAAAAAAACAAATTAGCCGGGCATGGTGGTGCACACCTGTAGTCCCAGCTACTCAGGAGGCTGAGGCAGGAGAATTGCTTGAATCTGGGAGGCGGAGGTTGCAATGAGCCGAGATCACGCCGCTGCACTCTAGCCTGCCAATAAAGTGAGACTCTGTCTTAAAAAAAAAAAAAAAAAAAAAAAAAAAAAGCACCTCCTCACCCCAACTCTGAAGGAACATCCCAGCTCCAGACTTCCCTATGAGTTTGGTCTATGTTGGGGATGCATTGCAGCACAGCAGCTTTAACCTGATATGGCTTTTGCACTTTCCTTTCCACAGTCGTTAATCTTCAAAACACTCCTTAGTAAATATCCTGGGTGCTAATCTCCATCTTGTAGGCTGTCTCCTGGGAAAACTACATGAATCTGCAACACCTTCTTCGCACTTTCACACAATTTTATGTGTATTTATGTTTCTATCACAATAATCCCCTGCATTTTTATAATGATTTATGTTTTCCTATATGTTGACTAGTTTAATTTTCCTAAAGGCCCTGTGAAGTATGGCTAGTCTTCTCATATGCCAAATGAAACTTACAGAGGTTGAGAGCTTGTACACTGGCAGAATTCAAACCGAATGTAGCATTATTCTACGCACAATGAAATCACTCATATCCCACAATATATGACCTTCTGCACATCCATTTCTCCCCTTAGGAAAAATACCACACCTTTTTCATTTTTTGTATACCCACTGCTGTGTTCAGTACCTGAACAAGATTAGGTTTTTCTCTTTCTGAATTTTGGGAACTTGGGAAAGTTAATAACCTTGTTCATTGAAAGTATGAAAACTAAATTTTATTAAGATTAAAAAACTACCTCAAGGTTATATACTGGGTAATTTATGAAGTGGTTGTTTGAAACAAGGTCTACCAACTACAGAGATGGAAGAGGAAAAAAAATGCAGAAAAAAATAAAAATAAATGAGGGGAGAAATGTTATAAAATATATATGTTTGAAAACATATCAAACCAATCTCTAAATCTTCAAACAAAAGAGAATCTTCAATCTTTAGTTGATCAAACTTCACAGAATCTTCATCACTTCAATTCTTTACCTCTTTTTGCTGAAGATGCTCATCTGTCCGGAAAACACGTTTCTTCCCAGATTTCAAGATACAAGTGTTGTGGTCTCCACTGATTGATTAAGGACACCAGAATCCAATTTGCAAGAGAGTTCTTACTTCCTCATTAAGTACACATCACCATTAAATGCTCACTGTCAAGAATTCTTATCAGGCTTTTAGAGCTTTTCTGCACTGCCTGTGAGGTACTCACAATGTTGGAGATTAACAATAAAGGCACTTTTATGTCTACAGGAGTAGTTATGGCCAACAGTAGAAATGTACTTTCCAGAATAATTAAGACAATTATCCATGAGATCAATTCTAGGTAACGTAAAGGTCATTCCCATTGCAGGTTTTCCCAGTGAGGTACCCTACGCACTCCAAGTGGGGATAAGGGACCTAATGGAAAGATTATATATCAGATCTGAAGTATCATTTATGCAGCCTTCACAGAGATAATAAACGTTGGTCATTCATTAGAGATGTTTAGTTTGTGAGTACTGCTACTCTCTCTGCAGTATTCCCTATTCACGTATTCTTATTCTGCACACAGACTTTAAAGTGTGCCTACCTCCTCAAGATAATGACTAAAATGACAACTGAAATTTGAATTGTACTTAGATTACTCTGAAAGAGGATTTGAGAAAAAGTTACAATTCCCCTCACCAGGTGTTTTCAGCAAACCAAGAATAAGTCTTTCTAAAGAGAAATACTACATTTGATATTGTAGGTCCTCATATTTAATCCCTAAACACCTCAAAGAATAGTGCTTGAGCATGAACGGTTATTGAGAATGCCTTAATACTTTTTCAAAAACAACAATCTACAACATCAAGAGAGTTAAACCTATATTATTACATTGAATGGATTACCAGAAAAGAAATTCATTGTTGGTGTGCTTAGGAAAGGCTCATCAATACATATCAGCAATGTCAAGTTTTATGTACAGTACAAGATTAACAAGTTCATTTTTTATTAAGCAAGCATATATTATGAGCTTTCAAAATAACAGAAACTATACTAAGCTTCAGTAATTCACAAATGGTAAGAAAGAAACTCATTCCCCGCATATACTCATTCACACGCTCATATATTAACCATTTTGTTTAGAATGAATTGAGTGACTGCTACTACAGAGGCAGGCACTATTTTGGTGAGCAAGACAAAAAGTACTACTGGAAATAGAGTTTCATTCTAATAAAAGGGGCTATAAATGAAAAATAAATATATGAAGTAAAAGTGTCTCCTCCATAGTGAATGACAATAGTTTTAATAATTATAACAACAATAATAATATATAGTTGGCTCTCTGTATCCATGGGCTTCATATCCACAGATTCAACTAATAGGGAATCAAAAATTTTTTTAAATAATAGATGATGGCTGGGTGCGGTGACTCACGCCTGTAATCCCGCCACTTTGGGAGGCCGAGGTGGGTGGATCACCTGAGGTCAGGAGTTCAAGACCAGCCTGGCCAACATGGCGAAACCCCGTCTCTACCAAAAATACAAAAATTAGCTAGGCATGGCGATGAGCACCTCTAATCCCAGCTACTGGGGAGGCTGAGGCAGGAGAATCTTTTGAATCCAGGAGGCGAATGTTGCAGTGAGCCAATATTGTGCCACCGCACTCCAGCCTGGGCAACAAGAGTGAGATGCCATCTAAAAAAATTAGTTAATTAAAATAATAATAATAATGGATGGTTGCATCTGTACTGAACATGTACACACTTTTTTCTTATTGCTAGTCTCTAAACATAGACTATAACAATTATTTACATTGTTTTAGGTATTATAAATACTATATATATGATTTAAAGCTTATAGGAGGTATACATGGATTGTATGCAAATACGATGCCTTGTTATATAAGGGACTTGAGCATTCATGGATTTTGGTATCCTCAGGATGTGCTGGAACTAATGACCCAGAAATACTGAGAGTGAGGATATAATTATAATTAACATTGACTATGTATAAGAAATATATATATAATGTGATCATTACAATGAATTTTTATTATATATGTTGTGATGAAGGAAACACAAGAGGCTGTGGGACTGTAGAAAAGCAAACAAAGAAATTGTGACATTTAACCTGAGTCTTTAAGCACCACTTTTTCAAAGAAACAAGGAATTATTGCAAGGAGAAATAAATAGCAAGATTAAAGCTAAGAGGTTCAGAAAAACTGGAGAGTGAGTGGAAGTCCTAGTAGCTCAGTAAGATCTGTCATTGTATCTACTCCTTCACAAACACGTTAAACCCTTTGACTTGCTTTCTTTCTATTATACTCATTTGGTAAATATCCCTACCTAGAATGCACCTCATGACTGCACTAAGCAATGATTTTCCCTGCAGAGAAGCACAAGTGTGATAGTCTTTCTTTAATTTTGTGATCATAAATGCCAAATGAATACAATATCGCTCAGCAATCCGACTATACACTTCTATTATTTTTTCCCATCCCCCTCTCCTTAATTACTTCAAACATTTCCATCACTCCTCAAAACTCCTACACCAATCTTCTTATCCTAACTCTCAGCTAACCATTTAAGTCATAATCCACTAATAAAATAGAGACAAAGAGAAATTTCCTTCTATTTGCACCCCATAAACAACCAACATGTTCTGTACTGGAGTTTGTTGCCCTCCCTTCTGTTTCTTTGAATGGAAGATCTCCATTGAAAACTTCATCAAAAGCCAACCCCTCCACGATGCTCTGAGTTTTACATTCCCATGGATTCAAAGAGAAACTCTTTATACCAAGTTGGGTGAATAGGTACTGAATATTTGCTAAATATCAGGAACCAGGCACTCAGCAGTAGTCCAAATCAACTTATAATGAAAAAAAATTAGACGTGTCTAGTTGTGTGTGGGTATTTCTGGGTGTGTGTGTGTTCGTGCATCTGTGTATTGTAATTAGTTTTCTTAATTTCCTGTATATTATGATTTAACGTCTTAAAATACCTTTCTGGATGGAGAGAAACTGCCATTCCTGTGGCTAATCTGTTTTTAGGGATAGCAACAGGTCCAGCTGGGAGCGTGTCTTTGATGTGCAAACTAACCAATGCAGAGACACAGATCTTCTATTTGTCTCCTATACTTTAGGAGGCAATATTTCTCTGTCTTAATCATCCCAGGGCCAGGTGCCAGGCAACTAGAGCTTACCCTTAAAGCTCAAATTCTGCCAAAATTATTCACTCTAGCCAATCCTATCCTGTTCATCCCATCCTCATTGCCTTTTTCACAAAAACCCCAATAAGAGCAGTTGCCTGACCCTTCCCCTCTCTGCTGTCTTCTGCCTGTGAACCATCCTGTTATCTTTTTCATGATGCCCTCTGTGTTAGTCTGTTTTGTGTTGCTATAAAGGAATATCTGAGACTGGAGAATTTATAAAGAAAAGAGGTTTATTTGGCTCACATTTCTGCAGGCTATACAAGCCTGACACCAGCATCTGCTCAGCTTCTGGTGAGGCCTCAGGAAGCTTTCACTCATGGTAGAGGACAAAGGAAGAGCAGACACATCACCTGGCAAGAGAGAGGGAGCAAGAGAGATGCCAGGCTCCTTTAAACTATCAGATCTTGTGGTAACTAATACAGTGAGGAGAGGGCGCCCAGCCATTCATGAGTGATTCACCCCCATGACCCAAACACTTCCCACCAGGTCCCACCTCCAAGATCACGGATCACAGTTCAACATGAGACTTGAAGGGGACAGACATCCAAACTGTATCACCCTTCGTGGTGTGGAGTGCCTCACGTCTCTAGGACCTGTGAGTTTCATAAACTTTGTTTTCCTGAGACTCTTCTCCTGTGGCCACACCTGATGGCTGACCATTTTATAAAAAGAATACAGAAAAGTGTATGAAGAGAGATACCAACAAAAAGTAGGAATATCAATCATTTTCTCTAATACTAATATTCTTCACACCCTCACACCTTTGTACAAATCCCTATTAGAGCAGCTTCACTTGTGGAGGTATATTTACCATTATGCTAGTGAAGATGAAGCTTCAGGACCTCTCACGTGCACAGACCTTACTAGCACCCAATGGACCCTAACCTATGTACAAATTTAAATTTGTATTTACAGCTTCGCATTCATTTTTTAAAGGCAATCTCTCAATGTGCATAAGCCTCAGGTCCTACAAAACCAGGATTTGCATGCTTATGTGATATACATGCTTATGTATCCACAAACCTATAACTTTGATTGAAACCAGATTGCACCATGATATTGCAATATCTTACTGGTTCAGTCAGATATTCTCTTGTGATCTGAAATAGAGACATGCTGACTTAATTAGCAAGTGTTGAATACTAGAATATTTTTAACAAAATGTAATTGTTAGAACAAGTTTGCATTTACAGAAAAATTGTAAAGATAAGTACAGATATAGTTTCCCTCAACTCCACACCTTATTTTCTGTATTATTAAAATCTTACAATATGGTATATTTATTACAATTAATGAACCAATATTGATTAATTAGTGTTAACTGTAGTCCATACTTTATTTAATTTTCCTTTGTTTTTACTTAATGTCTGTTTGCTGTTTCAGGGTCCTATTTAGGATACAACATCCCATTAGTTGTCATGCGTCCTTAGGCTTCTCTTGGCTATGAGAGTTTCTTAGATTTTTCTTGCTTATGATAAGCTTGATATTTTTGAGGTAGCACTGGCCAAGTATTTTGTGGAACGTCACTCTACTGGGATTTGTCTGATGCTTTTCTCATTAGATTGGGGTTATGGATTTTCTTTGCAGGGGAAAGACCACAGAGATAAATTGCTATTTTCATCACTTCATATCAAGGGTACATACTAGCAACGTGACTTATCACTGTTGATGTTGAACTTGATCACCTGGTTGAGACAGTGTGTGTCAGGGTTTTTCACTGCAAAGTTATTCACTTTTGCCCCTTTCTGTGCTGTACTTTTTGGAAGAAAGACACTCTCTGAAGCTCACATCTAGGAGGTATGCTTTCTTTCCTTGAGGGTAGAGTAACTACATGCACTATTCTGCATTGCAATTCTCTGCATGGGATATTTGTCTCTTTCTCCCATTTGTTTATGTAATCATTTATTTATATCAGTATGGGCTCATGAATATCGATTTGATGCTTTATGTTATAATATAATACTTCTTTATTTTGTTGCCCAAATTGTTCCAGCTTTGCCCAAATTATTTTATTGCCCAAATTGTTCCTGTTTTCAATTGGTGCCTGTGTCCTGGTGGTGTACCCGCAACATTGAGTGTTGTTGGTTGGTTGGTTGGTTGGTTTTGAACACATCCTTATTTCCTGACACCACAAGATGTTCTATCTTGTGTATTCCCTGCCATAATTCCAGAGTCAGCCATTTCTTCAAGGATCTATGATTCCTTTTCTTGAAGAGACCAGGGTTAGTAACCACAATCCGGGCCCTAGATGGGCCCATTGTTACTGGGGTATAGTTCATTTTAGGCCCTCCCTGCTGAGAGAGAAAAAGGAGATATATGTGTGTATACTAATTCATATATACAAATATCTACAAATATTTCTATATGTATCTGTTCCTATATTCAGCTAAAAATGAGTTTATACTGATGTCTCCAACTTTAATCCATACCACATGGATCATTCTAGTCTTTTCCCCCTTCTTTACCTGTAAACTTCTACTATAACAGTGAAAAACATGGCTCTTACCATCCACCATCTGTTTGTTTAATTATTTAGCTCTAGTATGTAAGCATAGCAATATCAGAATTGTTGCCTACATCCCTGTGGGAAAATAGTTTTTATAAAGTAGGTTACAATGCTTAAGTTTACTTTATATTTAGTTTTAGAGATTCCACTCATTTCCAAAGTTACTCAGGTAAGCATCATTTTTTCCCAATCCACTCAATTAGGTTGTTTTATACATTTGAAATACTGTTAGATTGTTTTGTCATATTGTGCATTCTATCTATTTTTCAACCCCTTATATTTTAAAAAATTGCATATATTACATTTCACTCTTTGTATTGTAAAGTTCAATGGGTTATGAGAGATGCATTGTGTCATGTATGCATAAATTAAATATAATTCAGAATAATTGCACTATCCTAAAATATCCACAGTGCTTTACCTTTTATCCCTTCTCTCCTCCCAATGAACCAATAGAACCCACTAATATTTTTGCTGTCTCTTAGATTATTCCTTTTCCAGAAGGTCATATAATAGGAATTATACAGTATGTAGCTTCTTCTTACTGCCTTTTTTTCACATAGCAATATGCATTTTAGATTAATCCAGGCCTTTTTGTAACTTGAAAGCTTACATCTTTATTACTGAATAATATTCCACTATATGAGTGTTCCAAAGTTTGTTTATTGACCATTCACCTATTGAAAAATATCTTGGTTACCTCCAAGTGTTGGCAATAATGAATAAAGATACTCTAAACATTTGTGTGCAGGTGTTTGTGGGGACATAAATTTTTTAACTACTTGGGTAAATAACTAGGAGTGTGATTGCTGGACTGTGTCATGTAATTATTTAGTGTTGTAAGAAACTGACAACTACCTTCCAAGTGGCTGCATCCAGCAACAATGAATGAGAGTTCCTGTTGCCTTGCATCCTCACCAGCAATTAATTGATAAAGTCATTTTTTTAAATTCTAGGCATTCTAATTGTTACATAATTTTATTTCATTGTTTGTTTGTCTTAAAATTCCCTAATGACAAGTCATGTTGAACATCTTTTCACATACTCATTTGCCACTTGCATATCTTTTTTGCTGAAATATCTGTTCAGATCTTTTGCTCATTTTTAAAATGGGTTGTTTTCTTATTGTTGAGTTTTAACTGTTCTTATATTTTTTGATACAAGTTTTATTGCCTTTAAATTGTCTTTTCATTGTCTTAAAAATGTCTTTCACAACATAGAAGTTTTAAATTTTAATAAATTGCAACTTATCCCTTTTTATCCCTTTCATGGATTGTGCTTTTGGTATCGCATCTGAAAACATCACCAAACCAATGGTCATGTAGATTTTCTCCTATACTGTCTTCTAAAAGTGTCATTATTTCATATATTTAAGTATATGATTCATTTTACGCTAATTTTTCTGAGAAGTGTAAATCTCTGTCTAGTTAGAATTTTTGGAATTTAGACATCAATTGGTCCAACACAATTTGTTGAAAAGACTTTTATTAGTCACAGTTCTCCAGAGGGACAGAAGCATTAGGATATATGCATAAATAAAAGGGATTTTATTAGGAAGAATTGGCTCACAGTATTACAAGGTGAACTCCCACAATAGGCCATCTGCAGGCTGGGGAAAGAGAAAAGCCAGTAGTGGCTCAGTCCAAGTCGAAAGCCTCAAAACCAGGGAAGCCGAGAGTGCAGCCCTCAGTCTGAGGCCAAAGGTCTGAGAGCCCCCAGGAGGCTGCTGGTGCAAGTCCCAGAGTACAAAGGCTGAAGCTATGAGTCTGATATCCAAGGGCAGAAGAAGAAGCAAGGCTCAGGCACAGGAAAAGAGAGAGCTGGAGAAGACTCAGCAAGCAAACTTACAGCCTTTCTCATCCTTGCTTTGTTCCAGCTGTGATGGCAGCCAATTTGGATGGTGCCCTCCCACACTGGGTGGTGAGGGTGGGTCTGCCTCTCCCAGTCCACTGACTGAAATGTTAAAGTCCTCTGGCAACACCCTAACAGACATGTCCAGAAACAATACTTTACCAGCCATCTGCACTGCCATCTAGGCATCCCTCAATCCAGTCAAGTCGACACCTAATATTAACCATCACAGCTATCCTTTCTCTACTGAATTACCTTTGTCCTTTGTCAAAGGTAAATTGACTATATATGTGTGAGTCTATTTCTCAGCTCTCTATTCGGTTCCATTGATGTGTTTTTCTCTTATTTTGCCAATTACCACAGTGTCTTGATTTCTATAGTTTTATACCACCTCTTGAAATTGGGTGTGTATTGCTACCTGACTTCAAACTATACTACAAGGCTACAGTAACCAAAACAGCATGGTACTGGTACCAAAACAGAGATATAGATCAATGGAATAGAACAGAGCCCTCAGAAATAATGCTGCATATCTACAACTATCTGATCTTTGACAAACCTGAGAAAAACAAGCAATGGGGAAAGCATTCCCTATTTAATAAATGGTGCTGGGAAAACTGGCTAGCCATATGTAGAAAGCTGAAACTGGATCCCTTCCTTACACCTTATACAAAAATTAATTCAAGATGGATTAAAGACTTAAACGTTAGACCTAAAACCATAAAAACCCTAGAAGAAAACCTAGGCATTACCATTCAGGACATAGGCATGGGCAAGGACTTCATGTCTAAAACACCAAAAGCAATGGCAACTAAAGCCAAAATTGACAAATGGGATCTAATTAAACTAAAGAGCTTCTGCACAGCAAAAGAAACTACCATCAGAGTGAACAGGCAACCTACAAAATGGGAGAAAATTTTCGCAACCTACTCATCTGACAAAGGGCTAATATCCAGAATCTACAATGAACTCAAACAAATTTACAAGAAAAAAAAAAACCTCATCAAAAAGTGGGCGAAGGACATGAACAGACACTTCTCAAAAGAAGACATTTATGCAGCCAAAAAACACATGAAAAAATGCTCACCATCACTGGCCATCAGAGAAATGCAATTCAAAACCACAATGAGATACCATCTCACACCAGTTAGAATGGCAATCATTAAAAAGTCAGGAAACAACAGGTGCTGGAGAGGATGTGGAGAAATAGGAACACTTTTACACTGTTGGTGGGACTGTAAACTAGTTCAACCATTGTGGAAGTCAGTGTGGTGATTCCTCAGGGATCTAGAACTAGAAATACCATTTGACCCAGCCATCCCATTACTGGGTATATACCCAAAGGACTATAAATCATGCTGCTATAAAGACACATGCACATGTATGTTTATTGCAGCTCTATTCACAATAGCAAAGACTTGGAACCAACCCAAATGTCCAATAATGATAGACTGGATTAAGAAAATGTGGCACATATACACCATGGAATACTATGCAGCCATAAAAAATGATGAGTTCATGTCCTTTGTAGGGACATGGATGAAATTGCAAATCATCATTCTCAGTAAACTATCGCAAGAACAAAAAACCAAACACCGCATATTCTCACTCATAGGTGGGAATTGAACCATGAGAACACATGGATACAGGAAGGGGAACATCACACTCTGGGGACCGTTTTGGGGTGGGGGGAGGGGGGAGGGATAGCAGTAGGAGATATACCTAATGCTAAATGACGAGTTAATGGGTGCAGCACACCAGCATGGCACATGTATACATATGTAACTAACCTGCACATTGTGCACATGTACCCTAAAACTTAAAATATAATAATAATAAAATAAAAAAATAAAAAAGAAATAAAAAAGAAATTGGGTGTGTATTCTAATTTTGTTCTCCTTCAGTATTGTGCTGGATATTCTTGGTTTTTTGCCTTTCCATATAAATGTTAGAATTAGTTTATCTACAATTTACTTTTCAGGATTTTGCTTAGGATTACATGGACTCTATAAAGTTGAGAAAAACTGATACCTTAAAAATATCTAGTCATCCAATCCTGGAATACAGAATATCTGTCTCTTTATTTTGCTCTCATTTTATTTATTTCTTCAGAGTTTTGTAGTTTTCAAAATGTTAGTATTGGTCATATTTTGTTATATTTATACCTATTTCAAATTTGTGGTACAATTTTAAATGTTATTATTATTTTTATTCTAAATTTCAAATTATAATGATCAATTCATGCCATGCAAAAGAGGAATTAACTATTGTATATTGACCATATATTTTTTGACCTTACTATCTTCACTCATTAGTTTCAGGATTTTGCTGTTGTTGTTCTTGTAGATCCACCGCTGTGTTCTACACAGATAATTATGCCATTTTGCTAAAGAGACAGTTTTACCTCTTCATTTTATTTACATACCTTTTTTTTTTAATGGACTATTTAGTCATTGTTTTCTTACTTTCCAGTCTCAGGCAGAAATATCCAGTATCTCATCATTGAGTATGATGTTAACTGTAGAGTTTTGTTTAGATGTTCTTATCAATTGAACAAATTCTTTTCTATTCCTTATTTGCTGAGAGTTTTTATCATAGGTGGGTGTCACATTTTGTGAAATGTGTCTTCTGCATCAATTAATACAACTGTATGATTTTCTTCTTTAGCCTGTAAATGCGGCGGATTACATTGACTGACTTTTGAATTTTGAACTAGTCTTACATATGTGAAATAAATCCCATTTGATTGTGGTATATAATTATAAATTATAATTATATAATTATCTATTTATAAATACGTGGATTTGATTTGTCAATATGAGGAGATTTGTTTTATGTTCATGAGAGATATTGGTCAGTAATGTTTCTTTCTTATAATGCCTTTATCTGGTTTTGATATTAGGATAATCTTGGCTACATAAAATGAGTTAGGAAGTGTCCACTCTGCTTCTGTTTTCTGGAACAATGATAGAGAATTGACATTATTTCTTTCTTGTGTGTTTGGTAAAATTCATATTAGTACAACCATATGGGCCTAGTATTTTCCTTTTTGGGAGGTTATTAATTATTGATAGGTGGTGAAAATTTAAATATCAGAGAGTTAGGACCAGAGTCAGCAATATAGTACCAAGACATATTCCATAAATTGTTATGGAGAAGAGAAAATAAAGCACCTCACATTGGGATAGGTTCTCCAAATAAGAGACTAGGGTATATATGCAGAAATAACATATCATGGAGGGATGGCAGGAAGGAAACGGAGAGAATGGCAGATAAAGAGAGCGTGCTACCTTATCCTTTTACAAGATCAGATAATAAGTTAAAGCGAAAAAGAAAGTGAGTGAAGGAAAGTCCTAGACCTGAATCCCTTTTTTTCAAGTTTCAACCAATTTGAGTTTGTTTCTTTTCCTTTCTTCATAAAAACAGGATAAAAATAATTATTTCATGGATTTTTGATGAAGAGTAAATGCATATATATATATATATATATATATATAGAGAGAGAGAGAGAGAGAGAGAGAGAGAAATAAACACTGAATATACTACAAGTATAAATTTTCCATGTTTGGTACCATTAAATGATGCTTTTTTGAAGAGATATTTATCAAATTTACTCTAAAAGAGATAGATGTAACTTCTTAGAATATGTTTTCAATATTCTCAGTCAAATGTCATATAATCGTGTATACAAAAAAATGTAGGCACAGTAAAATCTAAAATCAGTATTTCCAGGCAACTGTTTAGGTTCTCTGAAAGCATACCAGTGTAGTTTTATAAAAAAAAATTTTTTGTATGGATTAGCTAGTCAAATAACAGTACAGATTACATGCAATGTTTTAAAATATTTTTAGTGCATTACACGTTTTAATTTCTAACAGTATTATTTATTCATCAAAATCTAAACTCCTATGTGTTTTGTTTTTACATGCTACATTTGGAATATTTAAAATTTCCCCATTTTAAAAGCTACTTATTTATTTTGGGGGAAGGGGTTAACTATTTATAATCTAGGCAATTATAAGGATAAAGCACGAATGTATTCATATGTAGAGAGAGTCTTGCTCTGTTGCTAGGCTGGAGTGCAGTGGTGTGATCTCGGCTCACTGCAACCTCTGCCTCCCTGGTTCAAGCAATTCTGCTGCCTCAGCCTTCTGAGTAGCTGGGACTACAGGCACACACCACCACGTCCAGCTAATTAGTGTATTTTTGGTAGAGACAGGGTTTCACCATGTTGGCCAGGATGGTCTCGATCTCCTGACCTCATGATCCGCCTGCCTCAGCCTCCCAAAGTGCTGGGATTACAGGTGTGAGCCACTGCACCCAGCCAGTATTCAGTTATTTAAGGTTTTTACTGTAACCTTGCATCCTAATCGTCTGATGCCCACTTAAACATTTTTAAATGGTTTGTTTGTTTGTTTATAATTTCTATTTATATTTTAGATTCAGAAGGTGCTTGTGCAGGTTTGTTTGTGGGTATACTGTACGATGCTGAGGTTTGATGTGCAATTGATTCTATTACCCAGGTACTGAGCATAGTACCCAACAGTTAGTTTTTCAACCTTTGCCCTCTTCCCTGTCTCCTTCTTCTAGTAGCCCCCGAGGTCTATTGTTGTCATCTTTATGTCTGTATCAGCACTCAATGTTTAGCTCCCACTTATAAGAGAGAATATGCAGTATTTGGTTTTCTGTTCCTGCATTAATTCACTCAGGATAATGGCCTCCAGCTGCATCTATGAGGTGATGGTCTGTTAATCATGTCTTTCTCTCTGTATTAATCCTAATTATATTCTCAGCATGTATTACCTCTGACTCCTAAATAACTTCAAGAGAGAATTTCCAAAGAATGATCAATAGTGAATTCAATCAATTTGTAAGAGTTTTATATGAAGACACTATTTAGAACTGCTTTCCCTCGTTAGGCAGTAGTTATTGATAATGTATTTTTTATGTATGATTAAATTTGCTATGTGATAAGCAGTATTATAGCTACAGAATGTATTTTTTTCTTCAGAAGTACCTGTGATCCTATTACTATTCATTGGGAGAAGTTTTGAGTAAAGGCTATTAGCCTCTTTGTAGCGTGAAAATGTAGGATTATTGAGGAAGGATGACTCGTTTATGAATCCTGCTATTCAACAGACACATATTTTTACAACACTAACATCTATTATAACAGCTGTTCAGTAATTAAGACATGGGCTTTGCTCTCATAGAGCTTTAAGATTGCTAGGTGAATGTGGCATAATAAATATATATTTGGTCTCTGCCCCTGTTACTGACATGGAGGTCTTACATTCCTTAGAATTTCTTGGGTAATAAGGAGGATGTTTTGTTCTAGTGACACAACTCTTGGTGAGTTCCTGGATAGCTTCAGGATGGGAGCTAGTTACCAGAAGGTTCAAGCCATGTTCAGATTGGAACTTTTGGCCTCAACTGCCACTGCCCTTTCCAGGGAGGGAAGGGGGCTGAATATTGAGTTGAAAATCTGTGGTGCCTAGATGATGAAACCTCCATAAAAATCCCTAAACTATAATGGGATCCAGAGATCTTCCAGCTTGGTGAACACATCCGTGTGCTAGGAGGCTGCACAACCCAGTTTCATAGGGACAGAAGCTATTGTGCTTGGGGCTCTTCTGGACCTTACTTTATGTCCCCCTTTATCTGGCTATGTCTTTGTAGGCTTTGTAATATCCTTTATTATAAGCCAGAAAAATGTTTCCCTGAGATGTATGAGCCATTATAGCAAGTTACGGAACCTGGAGAAGGGGAATTACTAGAATTGCCAATTTGTAGCAATTTGGTCAAAAGTATAGTTGACAACCTGGGACTTGTGATTGACATCTGAAGTAGGAGGGGGGCAGTCTTATGGGACTGAGACTTTAACTTACAGGATCTGCACTGACTCAACATGTAGTGTCAGAATTTAGTTAAATTGTAGGACACTCACTTGGTGTCCATTGAAATTTGGAGAATTGGTTAGTGTGGGAGTCTATCACACTTTGATGTCAGAAGTAAAGTGATACAAAGAATATGTATGAAAAAGTTTTATTTTTTTCTTTAGTGAGACTCATGCATGAACAGGAAACTTTGTAACAATATCAAATAAAATGAAAAAAATAGCAGTGAAATTTACTCAGAACCAGGGTGAATAAATTTCACCAGCTTAGGGGAAAAAGTTATGGAAGTTTTCCTAGAAGAGATGACATTTTAGTTGAATCTTGAAGGATAAGAAATAGAAAATAAAGAGAAAAGGACAAAAATGGAAAAGAGTTTGTGAATACGGAAGCAAAAAAATGCACAGTGTGCTCAGAGTTTTTATGCAGAATGTGTGAAGCAGAATTTGGTCAATACAGGTATGTGGGAAGCAGTCAAAATGAGAACATTTGATACTTGACTGTATTATTTAGGAAATGGGTACCAGCCCAGGGTTTTCAGGATTTGGTTAGCTTAGGGAGATTTTTGTTTTTAAATTTTCAGACTTGAGGAAAATCATAAGAGAATAATGTCAAAGAATATTATGGAGTATCCAGCATGGAATATCTCTACCTAATGACTGGACAGAGAATACATAGAACCTAGTGTTGTTCAAGAAAAAACAACAACAACAAAAAACTTCAGGCCAATATTCCTGATGAACATAAATGCAAAAATCATCAACAAAATAATGGCAAATCAAATCCAGCAGCATATCAAAAAGCTAGTCTACCTTGCTCAAGTAGCTTTTATTTCTGGAACACAAGATTGGTTCAACATATGTAAATCAATAAATGTGATTCATCACATAAACAGAACTAAAGACAAAAACCACATGACTATCTCAATACATGCAGAAAGGCTTTGATAAAATTCAATAATGTTTCATGTTAAAAATCCTCAAAAAACTAGGCATCAAAGGTACGTACCTCAAAATAATAAAAGCCATCTATGACAAATCCACAGCCAACATCATACTGAATGAGCAAAAGCTGGAAGCATTCCCCTTGAAAACGGGAACAAAGCAAGCATGCCCACTCTCAATCCTTCTATGCAACATAGTCCTGAAAGTCCTAGCAAGAGCCATCAGGCAAGAGAAAGAAATAAAAAGCATCCAAATAGGAAGAGAGAAGGTCAAACTATCTCTCTTCACAGACAGTATAATTCTATATCTAGGAAAACACCAAGAATGTCCTAGCTGAGAGCCAAATCAAGAATGCAATCCTGTTCACAATAGCCACAAAACAAATAAAATACAGAGAAATACAACTAACTATGGAGGTGAAAGACCCCTACAACAAAAATTACAAAACACTGCTGAAAAAAAAATCAGAGATAACACAAACAAGTGGAAATACATTCCATGCTCATGAATAGGAAGCATCAATATTATTAAAATGGCCATAGTGCCCAAAGCAATTTATAGATTCATTGCAAACCACCAACCAAACCAAATGTTTGATATTCCTATGACCAATGACATTTTTCATAGAATCGAAAAAAAAATTCTAAAATTTATTTGAAACCAAAAAGAGCCCTAATAGCCAAAGCGATCCTAAGCAAAAAGAACAAAGCTAGAGCATTACACTACCCAACTTCAAACAATACTACAAGGGAAAAGTAACTAAAACAGCATGGTATTGGTACAAAAACAGAAACATATACCAATGGAACAGGTTAGATAACCCAGAAATAAACCTGCAGATCTACAACAATCTGTTGTTTGAGAAAGCTGGAAATAACAAACAATAAGGAAAGAACTTCCTTTTCAATAAATGGTGCTGGGATAACTGGCTAGCCATATACAGAAGATTGAAACTGGACCTCTGCCTTTCAACGTATGCTAAAATCAACTTAAGATGGATAAAAGATTTATGTAAAACCCAAAACTAGAAAAAACACTAGAAAAAAACCTGGGAAATACCATTCTGGACATCGGTCCTGGCAAAGTCTTCATGATGAAGACTCCAAAAGCAATTGCCACAAAACAAAAAAATAACAGATTAACCCCAATTAAACTAAAGAGTTTCTGGACAACAAAAGAAACTATCAACAGAGTAAACAGACAACCTACAGAATGAGAGAAAATATTTGCAAACTATGCATCCAGCAAAAGCTGAATAGCCAGAATATGTAAGGACCTCAAGAAGAAATAACAACCCCATTAATAAACTGGATAAAGAACATGAAGAGACACTTCTCAAAAGGAGACATACATGAGGCCAACAAACATATAAAAAATGCTCAATATCACTAATCATGAGGGAAATTCAAATCAAAACCACAGCAAGATACCATCTCACACCAGTCAGAATGGCTATTGTGAAAAAGTAAAAATAACAGAGGCTGGTGAGGTTGAAGAGAAAAAGTAATGCTTATACACAGTTGGCAAGAATGTAAATTAGTTCTGCTGCTGCGGAAAGCAGTCTGGAGATTTCTCAAAGAACTTAAAATAGAACTACCATTTGACACAGCAATCCCATTACTAAGAATATACCCAAAGGAATATACATCGTTTGACCATAAAGATACATGCATGTGTATATTTATTACAGCATTATCACAACAGCAAAGGCATGAAATTGATATGGGATCCTTAGGATGTCCCTTTGCCAGCTGGAAACCTCTGTGGCTGGTGGCACCTCTGCTTGAATTTTGCTTCCACCCACTCAGCCCAGCAGGTTGCATTTGGCTTTTTCTACTAGTCCCAATCCCACACTTGCCAAGGAAAAGCCAAGCATGGAATGGCAAGGGATGTGAGAGTGAGTGAGCATGGGGCCTGGCCACTGTGCACAGCCAAGAACTCTGGCTGCTGTGGCAGAGTGGGCAGCTTCCAGGTGCCACCATGAACCACCGCTGCCATCAATCACCCCTCAGAAGAGATACATCTAACTGCCATTAAGATAGCGACGATGACTGCTCTTAACTGCCTCATGTTGACAGGGGGCACGCTGTTTTGGGAAAAAGACAGTCAGATCTCTCTCAGAGGCCTGTCAAGGGTCTCCATGAAAAGGGAGCCATTGTCCAAGGCTCTGTTTGCAATACCATTTGGAGTTTGATGGCCTGAAGGCAAGAAGAGAAGACAGCGAGTTCTTAAAAGACATGTATCAAAACAAAACAAAGGGGTAAAGACAGCTTAAAAATCCTGAGGCTGCTTACACACCCAGATAACTGGTGGCTATAGTTATGCCTGCTAAGACTTGGATGCATGGGGCTTGGCTTTGGTTAGCTCCCTTGATCTTTTTTTTTTTTTCCAAATAAGGAACCTCTGGGTTATTGGCACCATGTTTACCCCCATTACCTGGCAGGATTTGCAGGATAATTGCTCAGAACTAAAATATTGATACAAATTTTGGTATTATTTTTATTTTGACAATCCTATGTAACTTAACATGCCAAATAATCTTGTTTCCCTTTCTTTTGGATGCTTTGGGGGCCCTCTGTAGCATCCTAAAGTTAGGGGTCAGAAAAGACAATTTTTAGCTGCAATTTGATTTTGGAAAGCCTATCAAATATGTTAAAGGTTTAAAACACTAGATATTATGGAAAATAATTCCAGATTACCATAAGTTATTTATTTAGCCAAACTGATGACTCGATTTTTTTTTTTTAAAAATCAAAAACCTTAACTCATTAAGAGGGAAGACTTAACTTTCCAAACAACCTGTCTTTTGCTTCTTTTTTCAGTAGCTTATTCAAAAGGCAAACAAAAATCTTTCATTATCCTTTACTATGACATGAAAACCTTATTCAAGAAGACAGAAAGCAAAATTTCAACGTTGCATTAGTCTGCTATTAATATCAACCCCAATTTTTAATAAAACCTTACAGAAAAATCTATCCAACCTTAATCAGTTTGACCATGAGGTGAGATTCTTATAACACTTTTATAGCCCTTTACAAATTTTTGTTAAATAGAAGATCAGTGACTTAAGAAAACTCTGTTGTGCTTTTATTTCCATGTTCAATTTATGGAAAAACCAAATAATACCCTTTTGAATTTAGTCAGTAAGTGCATATATAGAATTTCTTTTACAAGATTAATTTCTATAAACCTTCCACAACTTATTTAAACCTTTAGCTTTATCTTAACTAATTTAAAACAATTATTTAACCCTCTAAACAAGGTAAAAATTTACATCCCATGCCTTCTTATAAATTATGCAGGTCAAGTATTAGGCTGGCTAAATGCTTTAAGGTCATAAACTGCTTCTTTGGCTTTTGAAAATTGTTTGACACACACACTTTACAGTTTGGTAAGTCTTGGGGATATATGGAGTTAACCACAATCTTAACTACGCTGGAAAAAGTGAGACCTTATCTGCTTCTAGTACATAATTAAAATAACTTACCAGGGTTTACACCAAAATTAAACATTGCTAATAGTTACCATTATAACATGTAATTGAGATAACTGAAAATAAGTGTACTTGCAAGGCGTGTAAGGAAAGTAAAATGTGTTTTTGGTAAAATATTTTAAGAAGGCATGGAAATGGAAATATTGGCTTTGTTCCAATCCAGTTTCCTTTCATGGAGATCTAGCTGTTGCACAGGATTGGAGTAAGGTCCTGGGGTAACTGAAGGCATCTGGCTGAGGCCACACCTTGGCATTGCGTGAAGGCTCCTAGACTGGCTCCAGTCCCCAAAAGCCCATTACGGTATAATATTGTCTCTGTGCTTTGCAACAACATCCTTAACATTGTATGTAAAGACAGGATAACACCACCACAGTCTTGAAAGACAGAAAGAAAGTGCAACGGGAAGGACTGGAGGTCCAAGTACCAACTGGATTGGAACAAAGCCAACATTTCCAACACCCAAGGGTGATGGAGGATTGCCAGTTTCCTCCCCAGCAAGCTTATTCTCGGTGTCTTAAGTTCAGCAGCTGAGATAGTTCTTTTAACAGGCCGACAGAGGCCCTGTGTTTTTCTTTCATTTTGACTATTGTGGAGTTTAGGGACTCCGAAAAAAGGACAGAGAGTGGCAAGTCTGCTTTAACTCACCCTTCTGCAGATCCCCGACGAGCCCCTCCAAATGTCACAGGACACTTAGCTTGTGGCTTTGCCAGCCAGAAACCTCTGTGGCCAGCAGCACCTCTGCTTGAGTTTTGCTCACACCCACTGGGATCATTCCACTCACTGAGTCCAGCAGGCTGCCTTTGGCTTACACTATCAGCCCCAAGCTTATGCCTGCCAATGCAAGCCAGGTGTGGAGTGGCAAGGAGTGTGTGAGTGAGCGAGCATGGGGTCTGGCCACAGCACACAGTGAGGCACACCGGCTGCTGTGGCAGGGCAGGCAGCTCCAGATGCTGACACAGGTGCCAGCTTCATGCAAGGCTGTGGCTGGACCAGACATAACTCAAGTGGCTTTCGCTGTGGCCACCAGCATCTAGATGAGGTGAACGCAGTGACACCCAAAAGTACAGAGATGCCAAGAACTGCATAATCCCAAAGAGGGTGTTAGAGTGTATCTTGGGGAGTCCCAAGGTCTAGGCTCCCAGAAGGGCCACAGCTCTTCTCTCCTTCTCATTGCCCACAGTGCTGTGAGAGGTTGGGGAGTGTTTCGGGGGGTCATGTTTCAGCCCATTTGTGTTAAGCTCCTTCAGTCCCACCACCCTGCTCCAGCCTGCAGCTCCTGGGTTGGCCCAGCCATACCACTGCTCCTGTCACATGGGGCAGCTGCCTAGCGCTGGAAAAGGGCAGGAGGGCTATGGTGTTAGAGCATCTCTGGCTTGGGAAATCCCAAGGTCTGGTGCCCCAGCAGGGTTGACACTCTTTGCTCCCACTGTGGAGTGTGTCACCACCTGCAGGTTGGCAAGCTGGCCAGGAATATGTTACAGCTCCTTTGACTCCCGCCATTTGGTGGATCCAAAGTTCTTGTCCCACGTTGAGGAAGAATGAGGTTATGTGGACAACTGCAGGGTGAGCAAGGTGGAGAGGTGCTTTACTGAGTGACAAAATGGCTCTCAGGAGACCTGAAGTTGGTAGTTACTATCTGCAGGCAAGTGTCTAAATCTGACTGAGTCAGGGGTTTTTATGGGCTCAGAAGGGAGGAAGCGCATGCTGATTGGTCCATGGGCATCCATCGGCAGGCCTGAAAAAAGCACCATACCACTGGCCAAAAGGCATCAATGAAGTTCTTACTCCAGGTTGCAGACTCCACACAGAAGTGACAGCCCAGCCCCAAAGGCTTCAGGCTGTCTCTGGCTTGAAGGTGTGGTTTCACCAGGAACTCACCCCTTCTTGCCTAGGGACCTGTCTGTCTCCCACCACCGTCAACATGCCATCCATGGTGCCCAGACTATATCTGTGCCATGGGGCACCTGCATGTTCACGCAAAGCCACCCTCAGCCCCAGGGCCTCCTTCTGCACTTGTCAGTGCCCAAAGTCTAGAGGGGGCCAAGGAGGCAGGGGGCTGGCATATCAGCACTACCTTGAACATGCACACACCCGGCCAAATCACAACAGCACCTGGGCTCAGCCACAACTTTGCTCCACACCAGAGCTGGCACTGGGAGCAGGGAGAGTCCAGGGAGCAGGAGCAGGCACTTACAAGCCTGCAGGGCTTCCTGATCCCCTGAGAGCACAGGGATGCCTGGATCTGGAGCCCCAGCTGGGCAGCTGCAGCTGCAGTCAGGAGCGTAGGCTCCTGCCCCACCCAACTCAGTAGGGGGTGGGGCTCCCACTGGGATTACCTGTTTCTAGCCCCCATCAGCTCCACAGAGTGTATAGCCCTGGACACACCTCCCCTGCTGCAGCTGGCATCATGGCTGCAGCCACTCCAGATGGTCAGCCAGTCCCATTGGAATCAACCTAGATGCCTATCAATGGTGGACTGGTTAAAGAAAATGTGGTATATATACACCATGAAATACTATGCAGCTGGGCTGGGCATGGTAGCTGATGCCTGTAATCTCAGAACTTTGGGAGGCCAAGGCAGGCAGATCACCTTAGGTCAGAATTTCAAGACCAGCCTGGCTAACATGGTGAAACCCTGTTTCTACTAAAAATACAAAAAAATAGTTGGGTGTGTTGGCGGTCACCTGTAATCCCAGCTGCTCAGGAGGATGAGGCAGGAGAATCGCTTGAACCCAGGAGGCAGAGGTTGCAGTGAGCCAAGGTGGCACCATTGCACTCCAGCCTGGACAACAAGAGCAAAACTCTGTCTCAAAAAAAGGAAAAGAAAAGAAATACTATGCAGCCATAAAAAAGAATGAGATTGGGAATCGACAAAGATAGTCAGCTAGAAGCAGATACTGTACCCACTCTCACAGAGAGAAATAGAGGGGGCAAGTATATACAGCACCTTCAACTGAAACATCCAGGTATGCACATTGGGATTCATCAAAAAAACAGTTCAACCCACACAGCATGAAGAAAAGCAAGGCAGAATGACCACCCACTCAGGAGTGACACGGAGCTAGGGGAGCCTCTCCTGCCCAGGGAAGTGGTGAGTGAGTGAGCAACCCTAGGACTCACACTTCTCCCACAAATCTTTGAAACTCTCTGGTCAGAAAATTTCCCTGTGAATTCACCCCACCAGGGCCTGCAGTCTGACATGCAGAGAGCTATGTGGAGTCTTGGCAGAGCACCCACTCAGGCACATGTGGAGCCCCAGGAGCTTTAGATACCTGGGCTTCCTGGCAAAAGCAGCTGCAACTTTGGCAAAGCAGGAGGTTAGACCTGTATACGTACCCCTAAGAAAAGGAATCCAGGGGGCTTAGAAGGGATAGTCTGCAGGCCCTGCTTCCATGGTACCTTGCAGAATAAGTCCCACTGGCTTGGAAATCCAGCCAGCTACGAGTAGCAGCATTACATCTCCCTGGAATGGAGCTTCTAGAGGGAGGGGCAGGCTGCCATCTTTGCTGTTTCACAGCCTTAGCGATTGTTGCCTTTGGACTCTAGGGAGTCTGAAGTTACTAGGGAGTGAAGTGATCCCCTGGCACAGCCCAGCAGCTCTACAAAGAAGCAACCAGACTGCTTTCTCATGCTGGTCCCAGATCCTATTTCTCTTCGCTGGGTGGAACCTCCTGACCCAGGTCTATAACCACGCCCACTGGTGTTTTCCAGCTGGCAGCAGTTTCAAATCTCCCTGGGACAGAGCTCACGGGCCACCATCTTTGCTGTTTCACAGCCTTAGCCTTTGTTGCCATCAGTCTTTGGAGAGTGCAAAGAGACCTGGGGCTGGATTGGACACCCAACACAGCACAGCTGCTCTATAAAAGAGTGGCCAGACTGCTTTTTTAATGCAGATCCCTGATCTTGCTCCTCATAACTAGGCCAAACTTCCCAACTAGGGTCACCAGCCACACATGCCGGTGTTTTCCTGCAGGCAGAAGTTTCAAACCTCCCTTAAATAGAGCACCAAGAGGGAGGATCAGGTTGCCATTTTTGCTGTTTAGCAGTCTTCACTGTTGATGCCTTCAGGTACTGACAAATCTGGGGTAACTAGGGACTGGAGCAGGCACCCAGCATACTGCAGCAGCCCTATAGAAAAGTGACCAGACTGTTTGTTATGTGGGTCCCCTTATCTCCTCACTGAGTGAGTCCTCCTGCTCTTGGTATCCAGCCAACTCCTGCTGTGGCTATCAACCCAGTAGCAGCTCTGCAACTCCCTGGGACAGAGCTCCTAGTGGGAGGAGTGGGATGCTCTCTTTGCTGTCTCACAGCCCATGCTGTTGCTGTCTCCAGGCTCTGGAAAGTATGCAGGACCAGGGCTGCTCAGGATTCCCAGCAGAGAGCACTCACCTCATGAAAAAGTGGCCAGGCTATTCTCCACACAGGTCCTGGTAGTCACTCCTCCTCACTGGGCATAGCTGCCTGACTTGAGACTTCAGCACAACCACCCTGTCCCTACCTGACTACTTCAATAAGAATCAGTCCAGCATTACCCTGAGGAGGAGTTCCAAGAGTCAACCCACAACCCTTTTGCCACTGCCGTTGCAATGGTACCACCCTGTATTAGTCCATTCTTGCTCTGCTACAAAGACCTGAGACTGGGTAATGTGTGGAGAAAAGAGGCTTAATTTACTCACAGTTCTGAAGGCTTAACAGGAAGAATGACTGGGAGGTCTCAGGAAACTTGCAATTATGGCAGAAAGCAAAGGAGAAGCAAGCACCTTCTTCACATGGTGGCAGGAGACAGAGAGAGAGAAAGGGGAGAAGGGTCACACTCTTTTAAGCAATCAGATATTGTGAGAAAACACTCACTATCACAAGAACAGAAAAGGGGAAATCTGCCCCTGTGATCCAATCACTTCCCACCAGGATTCTCCCCTGACACATGGGAATTATAATTTGATATGAGATTTGGGTTGGGACCCAGAGGCAAACCATGTCAGTATGCCTTTGACCCCTCCAAAATGTCATGTAATTCTCACATTTTAAAGCCAATCATGCCTTGCCACAGAACACCCCAAAGTCTTAACTGATTACTACATTAACTCAAAAGTTCAAGTCCAAAGTCTCATCTGAGACAAGGCAAGTGCCTTCCACCTATGAGTCTGTAAAATCAAAAACAAGTTAGTTACTCCCAAGATACAATGGGAATACAGACATTGGGTAAATGTTTCCATTGCAAAAGGAAGAAATTGGCCAAAACTAAGGGTGCACACACCCATGCAAGTCTGAAACCCAGCAAGGCAGTCATTAAATCTTAAGGTTCCAAAATAATCTTCTTTGGCTCCATGTTTCATATTCAGGGCATGCTGATGCAAGAGGTGGACTCCTAAGGCCTTGTACAGCTCTGTCTCTGTGGTTCTGCTGGAAACAGTCCCTACAGCTACTTTCACAGGCTGGTGTTGAGTGCCTGCCACTTTTCAAGGTGCCCAGTGCAACCTGTCAGTGAATCTACAGTTCTGGGATCTGGAGGATGGTGGCCTTCTTCTCACAGCTCTGTAACACATTCCTGTCCAGCTTGCCAAGCTGCAGGTGGTGACACACTCCTGGAGCCTCAGTGGAGACTCTGTGTGGGGTCTCCAACCCCACATTTCCCCTCTGCACTGTCCTAGTAGATGTTCTCCATGAGCGGTGCACCCCTGCAGCAGACTTTTCCCTGGACATCCAGGCATTTCCATACATCCTCTGAAATCTAGGCAAAGGTTCCCAAACCTCAATTCTTGACTTTTGTGCACCTGCAGGCACAACACCATATGAAGGTTGCCAAGGCTATGACTTGCACCCTCTGAAGCCATGGCTTGAGCTGTACCTTGGCCCCTTTTAAAGCCACAGTTGGAGCTGAAGCAGCTGGGATGCACAGCACCATCTCTTGAGGCTGCACAGAGCAGCCGGGCCCTGGACCTGGCCCTCAGAACCATTTTTCTCTCCTAGACCTCCAGGCCTGTGATGGGAGGGACTGCCATGAAGGTCTCTGACATGCCCTAGAGACATTTTCCCCATTGTCTTGTCTTTAATATTTGGATTCTCTTTACTTGTGCAAATTTCTTCAGCCAGCTTGAATTTCTCCACAGAAAATGGTTTTTCCCTTGTATCACATGGTTGGGCTACAAATTTTCCAAACTTTTTTTTTTTTTTTTGAGATGGAGTCTCACCCTGTTGCCATGATGGAGTGCAGTGGTGCAATCTCAGCTCACTGCAACCCCTGCCTCTCGGGTTCAAGCAATTCTCCTGCCTCAGCCTCCTATGTAGCTGGGACTATAGGTACATGCCACCACGCCCAGCTAATTTTTTGTATTTTCAGTAGAGACAGGGTTTTACCATGTTGGCCAGGATGGTCTTGATCTCTTGACTTCGTGTTCTGCCCCCCTTGGCCTCCCAAAGTGCTGGGATTACAGGTGTGAGCAATGTGCCCAGCCTTTTCTAAACTTTTATACTCTACTTCCCTTTTAAATATAAGTTCCAACTTCAGACCACCTCTTCTTTCATGAATATGAGTGTATACTTTTATAAACATACAGGTCACCTTTTGAATGTTTTACTGCTAGAAATTTCTTCCATAATATACACTAAATTATCACTCTCAAATTTAAAGTTCCACAGATCTCTACAGCAAGGGCAAAATTCTGCTAGTCTCTTTGCTACAGAATAGCAAGAGCAACCTTTATTCCAATTCCTCATAAGTTCCTCATCTCCATCTAAGACCACCTCAGCCTGGACTTCATTATCTATATCACTATCAGCATTTTGGTAAAAACCATTCAACAAGTCTCTAGGAAGTTCCAAAGTTTCCCACCTTTCTGTCTTCTTCTGAGCCCTCCAAACTGTTACATCTGCCCATTACCTAGTTTCAAAGTTGCTTCCAGATTTTCAGGTACCTTTGTAGCAGTACTCCACTTCTGGTACCAATTTTCTGTATGAGTTCATTCTAACACTGCTAAAAAGAACTACCTGAGACTGAGTAATTTATGAAGAAAAGAGGTTTAGTTGACTCACACTTCCATAAGCTTAACAGGAAGCATGGCTGGGAGGGCTCAGGAAACTTACAATCATTGTGGAAGGTGAAGTGGGAGAAAGCACCTTCTGTACATGGTGGCAGGAGAGAGAGGGAGTGGGGAGTGTAGTGTGCCACACACTTTTAAACAACTAGGTCTTGTGAGAACGCACTCACTATCATGAGAACAGCAAGGGGGAAATCTGCCCCCATGATCCAATCACCTCATACCACATCCCTCCCCTGACACATGGGGATTACAACTTGACATGAAATTTGGGTTGAAACACAGAGCCAAACCATATCATGCCCTAACGGCACTTGAGCTATGGAAAGACAAAGGGCCTAGTCACTATACTGGCACTTCCAGCACACTGCAGTCACCACACAGAGAAGAGTCCAACCCCTCTTTCCTGGGAATACCTTCCCCTCAATCTTCACCAGGCAGGGCCTCCAGCCATGACTGCAGAACAGTTGCTCCACCCACTGCTGAGCATATCCATTGATAGTGGCTCAGAGTCTCCCTGGAGAGAGGCTCCCAGAGGCATCTGACAACTCCTCTGCCACTACATCAGCAGTGATTCTATCCCCTGCTGTTCTTGGCCTGGGGATAAAACAAAGAGCTTGAGGGCTATGCCCAAGCTTACAACATGCCACAGTCACCATCCAAAGAGAAAACCAGTCTGTCCTCCCAGTGAGCCTTTGACCCCACCTCCCCAACAAGGTGAGCTCCAAGCTCACACCAGCAGTGCAGCAACCCCACCCCACTGGCTGAACACTCCTCGTAGCAGCTGTTCCACATTTCTTGAAGGTGGAGCCCCAAGGGGCAACTGAAACTCACTCTGCCACTGCCGTTGCAGTGGTACTACCCCTGCTACCTTTGGACTAACAAAGGAGCAAAGACCCTAAGTGCCTCATTTACATCTTCAGTAAGCAGCAGTCAACCCAAGGAGAAGAGGCCAAGCTGTCTCCCATAGGTCTCACTCACCCCCTCTGCTCATCAGCAGGCAGCAAACCACTGTCTTGGGCCCACAGCACAGATACCCCATCCCAGGAGTGATCATACTGAGCAATTGCTGACCTGCACCTCTCTTGAGTAGAACCTCCAGTAGACAAGTAAAAGACCCTTGGCCACAAGTACTGCTATGTTTCCTTCCTCTGCTGCCTCCAAGTTGTGGGGGAAACATAAACCTGGAGATTATCCCAAAGCTGTGATGAGCAATCCAGGAGTGCCAAGCCATGGTCTGTAGCCAACACTCAAGTGGGAGAGGAGGCCACTCTTTGAGAGCATTGAGAAGGAGCACAGCTGCAAATTTGAGAAAAATTAGGGGATTCACATGACTGAGCAAGAGCCTACTAACTGACCACTACACCTAAGCACCTCCTAATAGATCACACCCCAAAGCTTCAACACCAAAATACCTCACTTACATGCCTTCCTGTGAAACCAAAGACTAGAAGTCAGCTACAAATGAAGACCCTGCACAAAGCCTCAGCCTTGTGAAAACATCTAGAAAAGAAGACTACTGACTGTACTCAATCTACATCACAGTTAAAGGAACACTAACACACAGAGATGAGAAAGAAGCAATGCAAGAACTGCAGCAATTCAAATGGCCAGTTTCTTATATTTTCAACGTGATAGCACTAGTTTGCTGACAAGAGTTCTTAACCAGGCTGAGCTGGCTGAAATGACAGAAATAGAATTCACAATATGTATAGAAAAGAAAATCATGAAGATTCAGGAGAATGGCAAAACTCAATCCAAGGAAACTAGGAATTGCAATATAACAATACAGAAAAAAATAGCCAGTATGAAAAAAGAACCCAATTGATATGATAGAGATGAAAAACACACCATAATAATTTTACAATGCAATCACAAGTATTAGCAGTAGAATAGAGCAAACTGAGGAAATAATCTCAGAACTTGAACTGGCTCTGAAATAAGACAATGACAAAAATTAAGAAAAAAGAATAAAAAGAAATGAAGAAAATATTTGAAAAATGTGGGATTATATGAAGAGGCCAAATCTATGAATCACTGGCATCCCTGAAAGGGACAGAGAGTAAGCAAACAACTTGGGAGATATATTTCAGGATATTGTTCATGAAAAATTTCCCCAACCTCACTAGAAAGGCCAATAATCAAATTCAGAAATACAGAGAACTCCTGCAAGATTCTACACAAGAAGATCATCTACAAGACACATAGTCATCAGAGTTTTCAAGGCTGAAATGAAAGGAAGAATGTTAAAGGCAGCTAAAGAGAAAGAGCAGGTAACCTATAAAGGGAACCCCATCAGGCCAACAGTGGACCTCCCAGCAGAAACCCTACATGCCAGAAAAGATTGGAGGCCTATATTCAACATTCTTAAAGAAAAAATCTTCAACCAAGAATTTCGTATCTAGCCAAACTAAACTTCCTAGTAGAAGGAGAAATAACCTTTTCAGGTAACTACATGCTGAAGGAATCCGTTACCACCAGACCCACCTTACAAGAGCTCTTGAAAGGAGGACTAAAGATGGAAAGATCATTACCAGCCATTATAAGAACACACTTATGTACACAGACCAGTGACACTATAAAGCAACCACACAAACACTCTGGCATTATAAACAGCTAACAATAAAGTGACAGGATTAAATCCATACATATCAATACTAACCTTTAGGGTAAACAGGCTAAATGTTCCCATTAAAAGGCACAAAGTGGTAATCTAGATAAAAAGAAAGACCCAATGATATGCTGTCTTCAAGAGACTTATCTCATGTTCAGTGACACCTATAGGCTCAAAATAAAGAGATGGAGGAAAATCAACCAAACAAATGGAAATCCAAAGAAGCAGGAGTTGCAGTCCTAATTTTACACAAAGCAGACTTTAAACCAAAGCATATCAAAAAAGACAAAGGGTTTACATACAGAATACATTACATAATAGTAAAGGGTTAAAATCAACAAGAAGACTTCATTATCCTAAATGTATATGCACTCAACACAGGCGCATTCAGAATCATAAAGCAAGTTCTTAGAGACCTACAAACAGACTTGACTCCCATACAATAGTACTGGGAAACTTCAACACCCCACTTACAGTATTAGACAGGTCATCAAGGCAGAAAATTAACAAAGATATCAAACCTGAATTCAACATTGGACCAAACTGATCTTATAGACCACTACAGAACTCTTCACCCTAAAACAGAATATACATTCTTCTCATCATCACATGGGACATACTTTAAAATCAGCCATATAATTGTACATAAAAAAAATCCTTAGCAAATGCAAAAAAGGAAGAAAAACCAAATTCTCAAACCATAGCAGAGTTAAAATAGAAATCAAGAGTTTAAAAATCACTCAAAACCATGCAATGCCATAAAAATTAAACAAACTGCTCCTGAATGACTTTTGGGTAAATAATGAAATTAAAGCAGAAGTCAAGAAGTTCATTGACACTAATGAGAATAAATACAAAATATGCCAGAATCTCTGGGACACAGCTAAGGCAGTGTTAAGAGGGAAATTTATAGCACTAAAAGGCCACATTGAAAGGTCAGAAAGATCTCAAATTAACAACCTAACATCACAACTAAAATAATGAGAGAAGCAAGAGCAAACCAACTCTAAAGCTAATAGAAGACAAAAATAACAAAAATCCAAGCTGAACTGCAGGAGATCAAAACATGAAATTATTCAAAAAATCAACAAATCCAGCAGTTTGTTTCCAAAAAATAAATAAATCAGATAGATAGACTACTAGCTGGTCTAATAAAGAAGGAAAGAGAGATGATCCAAATAAAAACAATTATAAATGACAAAGAGGATGTCACCACTACCCCACAGAAATATAAATAACAATCAGAGACTACAATGAACACATCCATGTACACAAACTAGAAAACCTAAAAGAAACGGATAAAAGATGGATGCATTCCTGGACTCGTACACCCTTCCCAGACTGAACCAGTAAGAAATTGATCCCCTGAACAGACCAATAAGAAACTCAAATTGAGTCAGTAATAGCCTGCCAACCAAAAAAAAAAAAAAATGCCCAGGAACAGACAGATTCATAGTCAAATTCTACCAGATGTACAAATAAGTGCTGGTACCATTGCTACCGAAACTATTTCAAAAAATTGAGGAGGAAAATATTTTATCTAACTCATTCTATGAGGTCAGTGTCATCCTGATAACAAAACCTGGCAGAGATGCAACAAAAAAAGAAAACTTTGGGCCAAATATCCCTGATGAACATTGATGTAAAAAGTCCTCAACAAAATACTGGCCAACTAAATCCAGAAGTACATCAAAAAACCTATCCACCACAATTAAGCAGGATTCATTCCTAGGATGTAAAGTTGGCTCAAATATAAATGTGATTCATCACATAAACAGAATGAAATACAAAAACCACATGATTATCTCAATAGATTCAAAAAAGGCTTTTGATAAAATTCAACATTTATGTTAAAAACTCTTAATAAACTAGGTATTGAAAGAAATACCTCAAGATAATAAGAGTCATCTATTGCAAACCCAAAGCCAACATCATACAGAATGGGCAAAACCTGAAAGCATTCCCCTTCAACATAGTATTGGAAGTTCAGGCCAGAGCAATCAGGCAAGAGAAAAAAATAAAGTACATTCAAATAGGAAAAGAGGAAGTCAAACTATCCCTATTTGCAAATGACATAAGTCTATATCTACAAAACCCCATAGTCTCTATTCAAAAGTTCCTAAGCTGATAAAAAAACTTAACCAAAGTCTCAGAATACAGAACCATTTTGTACAAAAATCACTAGTATTCCTATACACCAACAGAAGTGAAACCAATAGCTGAATCAGAAACACAATCCCATTTACAACTGCCACAAAATTAATAAAATAATTAAGAATATGGTTGACCAGGTAGGTAAAAAATTTGTACAATGAGAATTACAAAACACTGCTCAAAGAAATCAGAGATGACACAAACAAATGGAAAAACACTGCAAGCTCATAGACAGGAAGAATTAATATCATTAAAATGGCCATGCTGCCCAAAGCAATTTACAGATTCAATGCTATTCCTATCAAATGACAAATGTCATACTTCACAAACATATAAAAAACTATTTTCAAATTCATATGGAACCAAAAGTGAGCCTGAAGGGCCAAGGCAATCCTAAGCAAAAAGAACAAAGGTGGAGGCATCATGTTACTCCACTTCAGACTACACTACAGTGCTACAGAAACCCAACAGCATGGTACTAGTACAAAAACAGACACATAGACCAATGGAACAGATAGCTGAGAAATAAGGCCAAACACCTACAGCCATCTGATTTTTAACAAAGCTGACAAAAACAGGCAATTGGGAAAAGACTCCTTATTCAATAAAGGGTGCTGGGATAACTGGCTAGCCATATGTAGAAGATTGAAACTGGACCCTTTCCTTACACCACATACAAAAATCAATTCAACATGAATTAAAAACTTAAATGTAAGGCTCAAAACTGTAAGCACCCAGAACACAACCGAGGCAATACTATTCTGGACATTGGAATGGGCAAAGATTTCATGATGAAAACACCAAAAGCAATTGCAACAATAGCAAAAATTGACAAATGAGAGCTGACTAAACTAAAGAGTTTCTGCACAGCAAAAGAAACTATCAACAGAGTAAATAGACAACCTGCAGAATGAGAGAAAATATTTGAAACTATTAATTGACAAAGGTCTAATATTCAGCATCTATAAGAAACTTAAACAAATTTACAAAAAAAAAAAACTTATTAAACTAACAACCTTATTAAAAAGTGGGCAAAGGACATGAACAGGCACTTTTCTGAGGAAGACATGCACACAGCCAACAAGGATATATATATATATGTATATTATATATATATATATAGTATATAATATATATTATATATGATGTGACCTTATATATATAATATATATGATATGACGTGTGTGTGTATATATATATGTGTGTGTGTATATATATATGTGTGTGTGTGTATATATATATATATATATATATGCTTAACAGCACTGATCATTAGAGAAATGCAAATCAAACCCACAATAAGATACCATCTCACACCAGTCAGAATGGCTATTATAAAAACTCAAAAAATAACAGGTGCAGTCATGGTTGTGGGGAAAAAAAGGATCATTTATACACTGTCGGCAGGAGTATAAATTAGATCAACCATTGTGGAAAGTAGTGTGATGATTTCTTGAGGAACTAAAAACAGAGCTACCACTTGACCCAGCAATTTCATTACTGGGTATATACCTAAAAGAATACAAATTGTTCCATCATAAAGACACATGCATGTGTATGCTCACTGCAGCACTATTCACAATAGCAAAGACATAGAATCAACCTAAATGCCAACAATCAATGGAAGACTGGGTAAAGAAAATGTGATACATATACACCACAAAATACTATGCAACCATGAAAAGGAGCAAGAACATGAATAGAGCTGAAGGCCATTATCTTTAGCAATCTAACACAGGAACAGAATAATAATACCACATGTTCTCACTTATAAGTTAGAGTTTAATGATGAAAACACATGGATACAAAGAGGGGAACAACAGACAATGGGGACTACCTGTGGATGAAGAGTAGAAGGAGAGAGAGGAGCAGAAAAAATACAACAAACCCCTGTGACATGAGTTTATGTATATAACAAACCTGCACATGTACCCGTGTACCTAAAATAAAAGTTTATTTTTTCAAACAAAGAGATTATGACCTTTGCAGTAACCTGGATTGAGATGGAGGACATTATCCCTTTAAGTGAATTAACAGAAGAACAGAGAACCAAATACCACATGCTCTTACTTATAAATGAGAGCTAAACATTGAGTACACATGGACACAAAAGCAGGGGTCTACACTGCACTGAGGTGAGAATTGAAAAATTACCTATTAGATATGATGCTGATTACCTAGGTGACAAAGTTATCTGTTTACCAAACCCCCATGACATGCAATTTACCCATGGAATAAACCTGCACACTTACCCCTACAACCTAAAACAAAATTTGGGTAAAAAAAAGAACCTTCTGCTGTTGTTGTTTCTTTTCCATTTTAAGATGTTCCCATATAAGATGTTAAATTAGAAAATATCATGTTAAGCCTTCATTGCTTTCTTGGGTTTTTCTTAGGGCCTAGAACACACTAGGTGATGCTTATTTCATTTATATAGTGACATTACAACTTGGCATAAATTGCTATACCTTGGGTGTTCTCTCATAGACTGTAGCTGAGTGAGAATGATTGAGGGTAGAAGTGACTCAATCTGCCCTTTTGTCCTGGATTGGGTTGTCAGGTGATTTGACTTTTCCCCAGTTCATTTAATTGTCTTGATTGTTTTAATCTTATGTAGAAAAATTTACAAAAGAAAATATTCTATAACTAGAGTTACAAAAAAGTAGCAGAGGTGATTTACTTAGAGACTGCAGCACATTTAAATGCATAATTACTCCTTTGATTGTAAGATCTTCTTTAATTTCCAGATACATATACATGGTTAACATAACTTTATCACCTCATTAAAGTCTTTCCTGAGTCCTCCCAATGAGACCTTTATTGAAAATATTCTTCACAAATTGCTCTCTCTCCCATTCACTCTATAACTTGTTTTTCCTAATTATTCTCCATAGAACTTAAAATCTCTCTCTCTGTATTTCCATCTCTTTTATATAAAAGTGTTTATTGCTTGAATTCTCATTAGAATATAAGCTTTATAAATTTATAATTTTTTCTAGCCCCATTGTCTAAAACATGTCTGCCATATACTAGGCTATCAATTAAAAATTATAGAATGAATAAATCATTTAGTAAATTACTTTTCTTCATGGAAGTTTCATCCAGTTTTAATGTCTTTATTAATAGCCTACACTGAGCTGGAAATAAAGATAGGTTGATATAATAAGTTAAAAAAATAGTAAAGTTGCTGAGTACCTACTAATTGCCAAGTACTCACTGATTTTAAATAACAACCATACTGAGTTTGTTCCGTTATGATCTCAATTTTTATATGAGAATTCTGAGGAATAGAGAGCTAAGAAACTCACTTAGAATCATACAACTATCATATAAAGGGCAGAGGTAGATTTCAAACCCATAATCTGACCTATTTTCTTATCTTTTATACTATTATTAAAGAGATTTAGACTCAAAAAATTAGGTATAGAAGGAAGGTACCTTCGCATAATAAAGGCCATATATAACAAGCCCATGGGTGAGATTATACTCAGTGGCGAAAAGCTGAAAGTCATTTCTATAAGATCAAGAACCAGGCAAGGATGCTTACTCTTGCAAATTCTATTCAAAATAGTACCACAATTTTTAATAGAAATTCAATAGTACCACAAGTCCTAGCCAGAGCAATTAGGCAAGAAAAAATATAACAAGTATACATACTTCAAAGAAAAAAGCAAAACTGTCTGAGTTTTCAGATAACGTAATCTCACATTTAGAAAATCCTGGTATTAGGTACAATTGGTCAAGTGTCAAATTAAGTTCAGAATTTCTATTTTTTTTTTTTTGCCTTGATGTTCTGTCTAATACTATCAGTGCAGTGTTAAAGTCCCCCACTATTACTATGTGGCTATGTACTTTATAAGATCTAGAAGTAGTTTTTTTTTAAATCTGGGTGTTCCAATGTTGGGGGCATATATATTTAACATAGTTAAGTTTTCCTATTGAATTAAACAATTTATTATTATGTAATGTCTTTCTTTGTCATTTTTTTTAAACTTTTGTTTTTTTAAAATCTATTTTATCTGATAAAGGAATAGTGACCCTGGTTCTTTTTGTTCCCATTTGTGTGACACATCTTTCTCCAACTCTATTTCAAGCCCATGAGCTTTATTATGTGTGAGATAAGGCTATTGAAGACAACAAATGGATGGGTCTTCTTTTTTCTATACATATACAACTTGAAACTGTACCTTTTAAGTGAGGGATTTAGATCACTTATATTCAAGATTAATATTGATAAGTAAGCGTTTGATTCTATCATGGAGTTGTCAGCTGGTTGCTTTGTAGTTTCTCTTGTGATGCTGCATTGTAGGGTCTGTGGGCTCTGTACTTGTATTTTTTGTGGTAGCAGATATTGTTCTTTTGTTTCCATGTTTAGAACTCTCTTAAAGATCTCTTGTAAGTATGGTCTAGTGGTAACAAATTCCCTTAGCTTGCTTGTCTGGAAAAAAAATTTATTCTCCTTCACTTATGAAGCTTAGTGTGATGGGATGTGAAATTCTTTGTTGGAATTTCTTTACTTTAAGAAGGCTGAAAATAGGCCCCCAATCTCTCCTGGCTTATAAAATTTCTGCTGAGAGGTCTGCTATTGGCAAATGGATTTCCTTTGTAAGCAATCGACCTTTTTACTCTAGCTGCCTTTAACGGTTTTTCTTTCCTAGTATGAACATGACCCTATGGTGACTTTGTGTGTCTATGCCTCTGCTTTGCATCTGGGAGTTGGAAACAATGGTATTACTCCCACAGGAATATGTTCATAGTGAGGGATTCAGGAATCAGGCTGGATTTGAATCCTGGTATGTGCGCTTACTTTCTTTGTGATCTTAAGCAAGTCACTGTCTCTCTAAATCTGTAAATTGAGGGGATTAATAATTTTGCAGAAATGTACATTCCTTGAAGGAGGAGGCTTAATAGACCAGGAAGAAAATATAAATGCTTGGCCAACTCTCCTGCAGCTAAGACATTCAAAATCTGATTCTAATAACCAAGCATCTGCTTTTAATTATTGAACACACAGATGGTTCACAAAAAAACTATAGGGACCCCAGGGAGGATTCTGGAATGTAGGGGATGATTTCGGTTGTCACCATTACTGGGCATCATTCTGGCTCTTGGAAGTCTTGGTCCAGGGACGCAAATGTCTTAACCATATGCAAAATATATCCACACAATGCAGCATTATTCCTTGTCTCATTCAGTTTCCAGATGTAGCATTGGACATTCATGAAGAAAGAATGATATTCAAAATATTTTGCAACTGTTACTGTAACATAAATTATTATATTTCCATATATGCTTCAAATTTTTAAAATATTTATTTTATTCTCTAATCAAAGTGATCTATCAATGCATACAGGTTTTTTGAAATTGTTTGCCAAGAATATGAACTGAAACAATTCATTCTCAAATCGGTATAATCATCTTGTTTTATTTAGACTATGTGATGTGATTTCTTGATTGTTTGTCACGATTTATAGTAACAATGACCCTAACTTGGCTGTGGTTTGATACAACTAACCACAGCAAATATTTTCAGCAACTTCCCATTAAATTGAGACTCTTTAACTAACTTGAAGCCTCAACAGATTCAGTATTAACTATAGTGTTTTGGGGTTTTCTCCTCTCCATACTGTTCTGAACTAACAGTGGATACATTAAAAACTTTTCTAACCTTTAAAAAAGAAAATATCTTTGCTTTAGCATTAACTTTTGACAGTCTGGTGACTATATGCCTTGGTGATGTCCGTTTTGTATAGTATATCTCACAGGTGTTTTCTGGATTTCTTGTATCTGGATGTCTACCTCTCCAGCAAGATTAGAAAAATTTTTCTGTATTTTTTCCTCCAATATGTTTTTTGCTTCTTTACTTTTACTCCTTTATTCAGGAATGACAATAATTTGTAGGTTTGGTTGCCTTACGTAATCCCTTATTTCTCAAAAATGTTGTATATTATAGTAAAAATTATTTGTTCTTTATTTATGACTGACTGGCTTAATTCAAAAGACCAGTCTTCAAAATCTAAAATTATTTTTTCTGCTTGCTCAAGTCTATTGATAAAGCTTTTAAATATATTTGTTAATTTCTTAAGTGAATTATCAGTTCTAGAATTCTGCTGGGTTTCTTTTTAAGATGTTTATCTACTCCTTCATTTTCTGGATCTAATAGACATCTACAGGATACTTTACCCGTCAACCGCAGGATATACATTTTTCTAATCTGCACATGGAGCATACTCCAAGATCAACCACATTCTCAACCATGAAGCAGGTCTCAACAAATTAAAAAACAGTTGAAATTATATCAACTATACTCTTTTACCACTGTGGAATAAAAACAGATAGAAATCAATGCCAGGATTTCTCAAAATAACACAATTAAATGGAAATGAAATAACTTTGTCCTGAATGATTTTGAATAATCAATAAAATTAAGAAAGAAACTAAACAATTATTTGAAACAAATGTGAGTAGAGGTATAACATAGCAAAACCTCTAGGATACAGCAAAAGCAGTACTAAGAGGAAAGCTTATAGCACTGAATGTTTACCTCAAAAATTCAGAAAGATTTCAAATTAACAATCTAACATTGCACCTTGAGGAACTAGAAAAATAAGAACAAAATAACCCCAAAGCTAGCAGAATAAAAGAAATAACTATAATTAGAACAAAACTTGGTAAAATCGAAACTCAATAATCCATATGAAGAGTCAATGAAACTAAAAGTTTGCTTTTGAAAGAATAAAAAAGATTGATAGACTACTAGATAAATTAGTGAATAAAAAATAGAGAAGATCTAAATAAGAACAATCAGAAACAACAAAGGTGATATTAAAGCCGATCTGGCAGAAATACAAAAGATCTTCAGAGACTATTTTGACTACTTCCATGCACAAAAATTAGAAAGTCTAGAGGAAATGGATAAATACCTGGAAACACAAAACCTCTGAAGATTGAACCAGGAAGAAACTGAAGTAATAAATAGACCAATATTCAGTTCTGAAATTGAATCAGTAATGAAAACCTGTCAACCAAAAATTGCCCTGAACCAGATGGATTCACAGCTGAAGTATGCTGGATGAATAAAGAACTGCTGGCACCTATTCTTCAAAAACTATTTCAAAAAATCAAAGATGGAGGACTCCTCCCAAACTCATTCTATGAAGCCAGAATCACTCTGTTAACAAAATATGGCAAGGACATAACAAATAAAGAAAACTACAGATAATATCCCTGATAAACATAGATGCTAATATAATCAATAAAATAGTAGAAAACTGAATCTGACAGCACCTCAACAAGTTAATACAACACAATTAAGTAGGCTTCATTCTTGGGATCCAAGGCTGATTTAAGAAACACAAATCAATATATGTGATTTACACATAAACAGCATTAAAAACAAAAGCCACATGATCATCTCCATAGACACAGAAAGACTCTTAAATAAAATCCAACATCCCTTCATGATAAAATTTAACAATCTAGGCATCAAAGGAACATACCTCAAAATAATAAGAGCCATTTATGACAAACGCACAGCCAACATCATACTGAATGAGAAAAAGCTGGAAGCATTATCCTTGAGAACTGAAACATGACAAGGACGCCCACTCTCACCACTCCTATTTAACATAATACTGGAAATTCTAGCTAGATCATTCAGGCAAAATAATGAAATGAAAAGCATAAAAATAGGAATAGAAGAAGTCAAACTATCTCTTTTCACCGATAATATAATTCTACGTAGAAAGCCCTAAACACTTTGCCAAAAGGCTCCTACAACTGATAAATGACTTCAGCAAATTTTAGGACACAAAATCCATGTACAAAAATGTGCAGAATTTCTATACACCAATAACGTTCAGACTGAGAGCTAAGCCATGAATGCAATTTTATTTACAATAGCCAAAAAATTATTACCTAGGACTATATCTAACAAAGGATGTGAAAATTCTCTACAAGGAGAGCTCCAAAATACTGCTAAAAGAAATCACAGATGACACTAGCAAATAGAAAAACTCAAAGGATGTGAAAATTCTCTACAAGGAGAGCTCCAAAATACTGCTAAAAGAAATCACAGATGACACTAGCAAATAGAAAAACGCTCCATGTTCATGGATACAAGGAATTAATATTGCTCAAAACAATCTTCAGATTCAATGCTATTCCTACTGAACTAGCAATGTCATTTTTCAACAATTATAAAAAACGATGCTAAAATTCACATGGTACTAAAGAAGATGCCAAATAATTGAAGCAATCCTATACAAAAAGGAGAAAGCTAGAGCCATCACATTACCTGATTTCAAACTATACTCGAAGGCTACAGTAACCATAACAGCATGGTAGTGGTACAAAAGTAGACACAGAACAATGAAACAGAACAGAAAACTCAGAAATAAAGCCACATACCTCTAGCCGTCAGATGTTCAACGAAGTCACCAAAAATAAACAGTGAGAAAGGGGTTTCTTATTTAAAAAATGGTTCTCAGATAGTTGGCTAGTCATATGTAGAAGAATGAAACTGGATCCCTACCTTCCACCATATACAAAAATTAACTTATGATGGATTAATTATTTAAATAAAAAGCTTCAAAATATTCTAATCCCTGCAGAACCCCTAGGAAACACTATTCTGGACATTAGTCTTGGGAAATAATTTATGACTAATTCCTCAAAAGCAATTTAAAAAAAAACAAAAATTGACAAGTCAGACCTAATTAAACTGAAGGGCTTCTGTACAACAACAAAAATATCTACCAATAGAGTAAACATATAATCTATAGTTTGAAATAAAATATTTGCAAACTATGCATCTGACAAAGGTCTAATATCCAGAATATGTAAGAAACTTAAATAATTCAATGAGCACAAAATAAATGACAATATTAAAACAATATGAACAAAAACTTCTCAAAAGAAGGCATACTAATGACCAAGAAGCATATAAACAAATGCTCTGCATTACTAATCATCAGGGAAATGCAAATTAAAGCCACAATGAGGCTAGTTATAGTAGTTCATGCCTGTAATCTCAGCACTTTGGGAGACTGAAGCAGGAAGATTGCTTGACTCCGGCAGTTTGAGACCAGCCTGGGCTACTTAGAGCGTACCCATGTCTACTAAAAAAAAAAGGAAAATTGCCGTATATGGTGGCTCATGCCTGTAATCCTAGTAGTTTAGGAGGCTGAGGTGGGCGGATCACTTGAGGTCGGGAGATTGAGACCAGCCTGGCCAGCATGGTGGAATGCCGTCTCTACTGAAAATACAAAAATTAGCCTGGCATGATGACACATTCCTGTAATCCCAGCTACTCAGGAGGCTGAGGCAGGAGAATTGCTTGAACCCAGGAGGTGGAGGTTGCAGTGAGCCAAGATCACACCATTGCACTCTAGCCTGGGGTATGAGGGAAAAACTCTGTCTCCAAAAAAAAAAAAAAAAAAACAAAACAGAAAGAAAGAAAAGGAAAAATCAGCCAGATGTGATGGCACATGTCTGTGGTCCCAGCTACTTGGGAGGCTGAGGCAGGAGGATTGTCTGAGTTCAGGCGGTCAAGGCGGCAGTGAGTCATCATCGTGCCACTGTTCTTACCCTGGGCAACAGAGAGAGACTCTGTTTCTAAATAAATAAATAATTTTTTTAAAAAATGAGATACCATCTCACACTAGTCCGAATGGCTTTAATTAAAATGGCATGAACAACAAATGCTGGTGAAGCATTTGAGAAAAGGGAACTCTTATAAATGTTTGGTTCGAATGTAAATTAGTTCTACAACCATGGAGAGCAGTTTGGAGATTTCTCAGATAACTTAAATTAGAACTAACATTTAACCCAGCATTCCCATGACTTTATATTCTCTTTGGGTTTTTCCCCAAGGAATATAAATTATTCTATTATAAAGACACAGGCATGCACACATATGTTCATTGCAGTGCTAGTCACAATAACAAAGAGATAGAATCAACCTAAATGTTCATCAATGATAGACTGCATAAAGAAAATGTGGTGCATATACACCATGAAATACTATGCAGCCACGAAAAAGAAAGAGATCATGTCCTTTGCAGGGACACGGATGGAGCTGAAGGTCATTATTCTTAGCAAACTAACACAGGAACAAAAAAACAAATACTGAATGTTCTCTTTATAAGTGCGAGCTAAATTATAAGAACATGTAGACACATAGAGGGGAACAACACACATTAGGGCCTGTCAAAAGGTGGAGAGGAGGAGGAGGAGGTAGATCAGGAAAAATAACTAATAGGTACTAGGTTTAATACCCGGGTGATAAAATAATATGTATAACCAACTCCCATGACACAAGTTTACCTATGTTACGAACCTGCACATGTACCCCTGAACTTAAAAGTTTAAAAAGTAATACAGTAAATAAGTTAATTAAAGTTAGTAAAATATCAATTACAAAAAGAAATAAAAAATACCCTAGACCCCACCAAAAAACTGTAAAGAACAAACAAATTCAGTAAAGTTGCAAGATAGAAAATGAACATACAAAAATCAGTACTAACCATTCAAAAAAAATCAGAAAAACTGTTCCATTTATGATAGCATTAAAAATATTTAGGAATAATTTTATCCAAGTAAGTGAAATATCTTTACAGTGGAAACTACAAAACATTGATAAAGAAATTATAGGGGACAAAAATAAATGGAAAGATATACCATACTCATAAATTGGATGAATTAACATCGTTAAAGTATCCTTAATACCCAAATCCATCTAGATTCACCACAATTACTAGCAAATTTCAAATGATATTTTTCACAGAAATAGATAAGGTAATTCTAAAATGTATATGAAATCATAAAAGAGCCCTTCTCCATAGACAAATGACTCTTCAACAAAAAACCCTAATGCATTCCATGCATTTTACAATTACTTGATCTTTGACAAAAGTGTCAAAAATACACAATGGGGGAAAGAAAAGTCTCTTCAAAAAATGGTGATGGAAAAACTGAATATCCAATTCCAAAAGAATAAAATTAGACTCTTTCCTCACATCACGTACCAAAATAAACTCAAAAGGGACTAACCATTTAAATGTGAGAGACTGTAAAACTACTAAGAGAAAACATAGAGAAAAAGATTCTCGACATTGATCTGAGCAGTGATGTTTGGATATGACCCCAGTAGCACAGATGACAAAAAGCAAAAATAGACAAACGGGATTGCATCAAAATAAATGGCTTTAGCACAGCATAGGAATCCTTCAACAAGGTGAAGAGACAATCTACAAAATGAGAGAAAATATTTGTAAACCATCTATCTGGTAAGGCATTAATATCCAAAATATAGAAGGAACTCAAATCAATAGCAAGAAAACAGACTCTGGTGCAGTCTAGGGTTTTTATATTTTCTTCCTTCGTGGGGGAAGGGGAATTGATATTTTGCCAAGTTTGATTAATTAATTTTATTACTTTTCAATTTTAAGTTTAATTTTAAAAATAAGCAAAGGATCTGAACAAATATTTCTCAAAATAAGACATACAAATGGCCAATAAATATATATAAATATGCTCAACGTCACTAATCATCAGGAAAATGCTAATCAGAACCACAATAAGATATTCCCTCACATCTGATTGAATGACTATTATCAAAAAGATGCAAGATAATAAGTTTTGGCAAAGATGTGGAGAAAAGGGAACCCTTGTACACTTTTTAGTGGGAATGTAAATTTATACAACCATTTTGGAAAATGGTACAGAGGTTCCCCCAAAAAATTAAAAATAGGACTACCATACAATTCAACATTCCCACTTGGTACATGTCCAGAGAAATAAAATCACTATCATGGAGAGATATCTGCGTTATTGCTATCATGAATAATGCTGCAATTATTCACAATAGCAAGATATGAAAACAACCTAAATTCCATCAATTAGTGAATAAATAAACATAATGTGGCATGTCTGTACAATGGCATATTATTCAGCCTCTAAAAAGAAGAAAATAGTGTCCTTTTTAACAGCAAGATGAACCAGGAGGACATTATGTTAAGTGCAATAAACAAGAAACAGAAAGACAAATATCTATCACATTATTTCACTTATATGTAGAATTTCAAAAAGTTGAACTCAAAGAAACAGAGAATAGAATTGTTGTTGCCAGGAACTGAGGTTTGAGGAGATGGAGAGCAGAGAATAGCAAGATGTTGGTCAAAAGGCCCGAAGTTTCAGGATGTTCAACAAGACAAATAATTTATACAATTTTTTTTTTTTTGAGACGAATTCTTGCTTTGTCGCCCAGGCTGGAGTACAATGGCACCATCTTGGCTCACTGCAACTTCTGCCTCCCAGGTTCAAGCAATTCACAATTCACCTGTCTCAGACTCCCAAGTAGCTGGAACTACAGACTCACACCACCACACCCTGCTAACTTTTGTATTTTTAATAGAAACGGGGTTTCACCATATTGGTCAGGCTGGTCTCAAACTCCTGACCTCAGGTGATTCACCTGCCTCGCCTCCCAAAGTGCTGGGATTACAGGCATAAGCCACCACACCTGGCCAGTTCTATAATTTTTTAAAGGATTTAGAAAAGAGATAAGACTAATCTCTAACCAATCAGATTGAAATACAATATATGGATTAAATGTAATTCAATGATCTATGGGATCACAGGCAATTAATTGTGGGTATTTTCTTTTAAGAAATTGATGTTTTTTTTAATCTTTCTGGAGATCTAGATTTGGTGTATTTTAAGGTAAATTTCTGAAGCTACACAAATTCACATATTTTAGGGCAACTTGCTGTATTCTGAAAATAGTGCCTAAAGAGAACCAAACTATCCATGTCTGAGCAGTCATAAAAAGAATAAGATCATGTTCTTTGCAGGGACACGGATAATATGGTATATGGAAGAAAAAAACAAACACTTTTTTTTAACCCTCTTAGCATCAGTAGATACAACATGCAAGTTAAACTGAAAAATTGCCAATCAATGGAAGAAAGGGTGTGTTGGGCTGTTATTGCGTTACTACAAAGAAGTACCTGACACTGAGTAATTTATAAAGAAAAGAAGTTTAATTGGCTCATGGTTTTGCAGGCTGTACAAGCATGGTGCTGGCATCTGTTCAGCTTCTAGGGAAGCCTCAGAGAGCTTTTCTCACGAGGGAAGGAGAAGCAGGCACTGGAGTATCATACGACAAGGGCAGGACCAAGGGAGGAGGGGTGAGGTACCACCCACTTTTAAATAATCAGATCTCGCTATAATTCACTATCATGAAGACACTACCATGCCATGAAGGATCTGCCCCCATGACCTAATCGCTTCACACCAAGACCCACCTCCATCATTGGGGGTTATAGTTCAACGGGAGACTCCAGGTGACAAATATCAAAACTATATCAAAAGGTATATAAATATTATTTGCTTTTTTTTTTTTTTTTACATGCACAGAGGAGTATATAGGGAAGAAATGAAGACCCAAAGAAGCATTCAAACCTGGGGGCTTATATACCATTCTAGCAAAAGGCAAAACGTTGTAAGAAAAGACCAAGGGAAAAAAGTTTTGGTCTCTCATGGTGGTACATTATCGGATTGTAATTATATGAGGGAAAGTAAAGAAAGATAGGGTTACTCTGTAAGATGTTGTTTATGCAGTCTCATCTCGGTACTGTTCCCATCTCTACCGATAAAAATTCTTCCCTTTCTGATACAAGAGAGGGAAACACATTCACAAAGAAAATTTATGCCCTGCTTTCAGGCAGATAAGGGAAGGGTAGAGGGTACTTCTGTGTCTTTTTTTTTTTCTACATTGCCTTCAGCTCAAAATAATCCTTATGCTAAAATGGCATATTTTGGGGTGGCATATTCTGATTATCTTCATGGTTTATAGATGATAGATCCAAAAACAGCACCAGAGTCTTTGGATTCCAAATGCAATAGTCTTCCCATTTCATCAAGCCTGAATGACTCTTCAAATTGGTTTCATGAGTTAGCTCCACTCATCAGCCACCTCAAAGCAACTGATTTTAAGCCTTTTCCCAATCCCTACCTCTTACCATGATGACCATGGAAATGGATTCTGGAATATCAGTTTAGACTTGCTTGCTTCAATTCCTCCTATCACCCGCCTATCATCCTTTCACCTATCTCCTGCATGGACACTATTATGAAGAGTAGAAGGATGTTATCAACACTTATTAATAAAGGAAACAATTTATTATGCTGTTCTTTATGTTCAAAAAATTTAGAAAATGTATATTAAAAAAACTACCAACTTCTCCTTTTGCATCAAAGGACAGTTAACAATATCAAATCACCAATTAAGGGAATGAATTTGAAAGCCTACGTTTAATTGCATTCTTGTAAGTCACTTGAAATAAATAGGAAAAATGAATGGGTTTAGTCACCACTTTTGTACCAAACAAATTCCATTACCTACAACTACTAAAAGATTAATTATCAACTGAGAGCTACATGAGCTATATTTATTTTAGTAATATATCTGTGTTACAAGCTTACCAAATTCTCCTTTTCTAACTAATTCATTTGCATAAACTTCAGATTATTGTCTAAGGAAAAAATGAAGACTCACGGGCATCTCAAATAAATATGAGTAAATGGCTCTTTTTCTCAGTTTCTTCTATGTTAAGGTGAAGTAAAATTCAAGTTTATTGGGCAAAATTAGCTACCAATGTGGTTAAGCAAGTCTAATTAGAAATCTAAATGCAATTAATTTTGTAAATTGAAAATGTTCTTCTGTACTGCTCTCCAAAATTCTTTTTTTCAAGGGTCATTCATCTTTATTTGACTTTCAGACCATATTATATTTATATTTTAAATATATATATATATATATATATATGTATTACATATAAAGTAAAAAGTGTAATTGTCCTAAAAGGATCAACTTTTGCCTGAGGAATGTAGCAGTATTTGGTGCTGTTCAAAGACCAGAAATGGCTACTTGCTGCTGTCAATCACTGATGCTTCTATATTAACTATAGTTGCAGGATTTTTTTTTAATTTCTTCTTCTGTCATTTTCACCTTTTGATATTCTTGTGAGCCACCCTATCCATAACTGTAAGCCATCCTATCCATATCTGGGATTTACAGCACAAACTGAATTTCCTTTGTCATCCAGAGCACCATATAGGAATGAATTAAGAATTTGATTTAACAAAATATTCCAGGAAATCTATAACTTTGGAGCACAGCCTGACTTGGGGCTGGTTGCTTTGAAAATAATATAACAAGAAAAAATTTCAACTGTTTTCACTAAGTAGTGGGATAATCTTTTTTTGTTTGTTTTTTTTTGTTTGTTTGTTTTCTTCTTCCTTTTTTGCATATGTATTTGTGGCTGGGCAGCTCTCTTTGTTGAATATTGTACTAAAGAGAAATGCATTTGGTCAAGGTTACGCTACATACATACATAGGCACCTGGATGATAGAGCTGGTCAATACACACAGCTCACAAGGCCACTTTCCTTAGGAGTATATATGTTCAGACTAAAGCAAGTAGATGCTGCCTATCTTTGTAACTTGGGTCTATGTGCACATATGTAAGTCTGACCTCTCCTTAGTTAGTGATTTTGTTACAGGTAGTTAGATAGGCAATAAGCAGGGCAGGAGAGGGCTGTCCCTGCCACCCACTAGGAATGTCCTGTGATGGTTCGTCAATTACCGCATTGCCTCTCTAAAAATGATAATTCAGTAGCCACGGAGAGACAATCTCCTGATTGTCCACACATGTTAACATTAAAAATGTTAATTGAGGCTGGGTGCAGTGGCTCACGCCTGTAATCCTAGCACTTTGGGAGGCCGAGGTAGGTGGATCACCTGAGGTCAGGAGTTCAAGACCAGCCTGGCCAACATGGTGAAACCCCGTCTCTACTAAAAATACAAAACTTAGCCAGGCATGGCGGCGCACTCCTGTGACCCCAGCTACTCCGGAGGCTGAGGCAGGAGAATCGCTCGAACTCCGGAGGCGGCGGTTGCAGTGAACCAAGATTACGCCCCTGCACTCCAGCCTGGGTGACAAAGCAAGGCTCCGTCTCGAAAAAAAAAAGTTAATTGAATGAAGACACCAGGGAGAAGCAACTTCCTGGGCATGCGTGTTAAGAGACAAAAATGAAAAAATGGCAAAGTATGATCTTCCAGGGGCACATTCCACCGGAAAAGTGAAGAAAGCCTCAGATGGGCATGCGTATGACTCCCTAAACACACTGCATGTGCTCAGTTCCCAAGGGCTAGGAGGGCACCCGGCATGCGGAGAAAAAGGCGAGCCCATAACGTCCTAGGATCAAGATTAAAGGATCTTTTTCTCTGCCCTTTTCTTCTCTTGGACCTTCAGGCACCCACTTGGATCTCTTCCAGATGTTCTTTCCTTTGTTACCTGTTCTAAAGCCTTTTAAATTTCCACTCTTGCTCTGAAACTTGCCTCAGTCTCTTTTTTTCTGCTTTATGCCTCTTGGACGAATTTTTTTTTCTGAGGAGGGAAGAACTGAAGTTGCTGTGGACCTGTATGGATTAGCTGATGGTTACTCGGGGTAATTTGGATCTCTTCCACCGGTAACAATTTTACCCCCTTTTTCATTTAATTATTTAAAAACACCTACATGAACATACACACACACACATCTTGCCCATTAAGAATGAGTGGAAGTAGTACACACTGATCCTTAACATGTGAAAATTATTCTGTGTCGTAAGCAGTCTCTCATTAACTCCTTACCACACTATTCTTTCTAGTAAGACTGGCTAATTAATATATGTGGTCTTAGAATTTAATTCTTAATCAATTTATTATTTCCTGCTGCATTTTGAGGTATCTCTTCTGGACAATATATCTAACTGGTCACAGACTATAAAATACATTCTTCATACACTTAAGTATAAAATGATGTAATGACATATGAACTCACCACGCAAGATGATCAGATAATATTATGCCTACCTTAGTTTTTAAAGTATCTTTTCCAGGAGTCACTTTTACTGTTCTTTGAGCTTTCTGAGTTTTCTATTAACATTTAATAAATATAAGTTGATGATTAGCTCTTGTCAGTAGGCTTTCATGAAAGATGTTTCTATACAAGTATGCAAATCCATTAATAAAACTCATTTGATTTAGTAGTGTCTTATAGTTACCAAATGCAGAGGGACATTTTTTTCAACTTATATAACAGAGGAAAAGATGCAGTTTCAGGAATCTAAACGTAGTTTTCTTTAAAAAATGTTACCAGTTTTGTAATTTCCACATGTATGTTACCACACACAAGTTTTATGGATCAATTTAAATGCTAAAACCCACCTAACGAAAGAAAAAGATTTCAGAGATACTTGAATATATATTAATTTAAGAATCTGATGTTAGTCAATAGAAAGTTATTCCAGATGTCATATTTCTTAGGACTGCGTTAACATTCTGTTTTCTCCCACCATTCAAATACCTACTCTCCAAATTCCTTGGTAAAATAATTGGATTATAGAATAACTTCATAGTTCTGTAAAATAATTTAATTGTCATAACACCTCTAGTTTCTCTGTGAAACCAAAGGTTTAATTTGCTTCTGTTGTAGCCTAATTTCTGCTTGACTTTTTAAGGTACTGATAGTCAATGGAGAAAAAGTAGGCGACATGTTAAAATGTCATCGAAGTAGCATTCTATTTTAAACAAAGACATATATTCTAATTCCAATGACAACGATAAAGCACTCCAGGGTGTGCTTTAATGGGCCATTAGTTTTCTTCTCGGGTGGTTGAAATTCTTTGGCCTATAGCCTTATGCTCCCCTGAGTCTCTGGGCCTCTATTAGACCCATTAAAAACACCCTGGAATGCGTTTTTTGTCTAATGTGATTATTATAAAAATGTCCAAGCTACACTTTATTCCCCAATTTGCAATAGCACTGGCATTTCACTTTCCTAAATGTTGACATGGGGGTCTGCAGAAAATATAGTGCAGAAAATCAATTAGAAAGTAAAAAGGAAACTTTCAGGCCTGTGTCAGTGGGTGCAAGAGGAAAAAAGAGAAATATCTGAGTTAACTAAGTAAGAGTAATTTTCACACCTGTTAAATGTATAGGGGTTTGAACAGCTTTGGCAAATCTCTGCAAATCACAAGCTTGACAGATTGTTCTCATCTTATTCACATTATTTTCCATCCTTCTCTGTAGTAGACCGAGACTCCTTTTTCTGTGTGCCTCTACTTCAATACAAATACACATTTCTTTTATAACACTAGTAAGAAAATAGACCCTGTAATAAGAGAAAACTAACTAGCTTTCAGCATCAAAGAGAGAAGAGGCCAGGAGTGGCATGCTGATTTTACTGGCCAGCAAAAGTTCTTTGAAAAAAGCATTGTTCCCTATTAAAAATGGTTCTGGTGGAGATATCAATATGTTCCTGTTTTTCCATTCAATGATGGAATCCAATCCATCAAATTATCAAATTCCATAAACTAATCATGGTAACTGATCTACCTCTATACAGTTACTAGTGTTAAGATTATCAAAAATAGGCCAGAAAACCTTCCTTACAATTTCATACTGGGAAATTTAAAGAAATAACTGATGTCTCTTCTTTAGAATTACAAGCAGTAAAATATAGCCTTGGGAGTTTTGGTAGCCTTTGTTCTTGCCTTTGTTCTATTTTTTGGCTTCGTTGTTTTTGCATTGTTCTGTGTTAGAATGATAGATAGATAGAGAGATAGATCATTTGATCGATCTGAGAGGGAGGAGAGGAAGTGGAAGATGGAGAAGGAAGGATAGAGTGAGGAAGGGAGAGAGGATGGGAGAAAGCCTGATAAGTTAATGTGAACCATTTGGCTTAGCTATGATTGAAGGAAGACTAGTCTTTACAAGCGTCAGTTACGTTATCAGAAAGGGGTACCGATCCACATCCTGAGAGAGGGTTCTTGGATCTCTCACAATAAAGAATTTGAAAAAAAATAAAAATAAAAATAAAGAATTTGGAACGAGTCCACAGAGTACAGTGAAAGGAATGAAAGACTAGCTACTCCATAAACAGATCAGGGCATTTCCAAACGCAAGAGGAGAAACATGTCCACCTTAGGTCCAGTGCTTTTTTATATATAACAAAGCAAAATAAAATCACAGGGGAGAAGTGCTCTGCTACAACAGCTTGTGACAGGATTGCTAATCTTTTTGTAATTACTGTCTTCTTCAAGAATCTATATTATTATTTTTAAAGTGAAACTTAAACTAAAAAAATGCTTTTGTCCTTAAGACATTGGAATATGAGGACATTTCCAAGTCTATTATTTCCTGGGCCTGATAAGTCCTGGGTCTGTTCAGTAAATATTATTAACTTGTTCCCTTACCTGCAGATATCCCGTGACTAAGAATGCTTAACCTTCTGGGAATGCAGGCAGTAGGTGTCACTCATTTTACCCAGCAGCTATTCAAGATGGAGTCACTCTTGTCTGAGCACCTCTGACAACATGAACTAGTAAGTTACCTTTTCTGCTTACGTTATGCAGGTTTTTTTCCTAGCTTGAATGGAAGGTATATTGGCTATTGTATTAGACTTATATTGACATTCTCTCTAGAATTTTCTATTTTTTTGTTCATCATCATGTGTTCTTTCATTCTGATGACTCCTCCATCTTTTTCTTCCTCCAGGAGATGTCACATCCAATTAAGAACACATTTTCTTTCTTGCTGACCTTCTTCTTCTCAAAATCTGATGCTGTCCAAAGTTGCAAATGTAGCCAATAATGGGGTCTCTTTTGATTCTGACAATGTTTAAAGTCCTAGACAGTAATGTCTTTCATTGTCACAGGAACTAAAAAGGAGCCACACGGAGACTCTTCAGCGTTACCTAAGAAAGTCAGTGTGATGACCACATTGGAGGCATGAGCACTGATAATTCCTCTTCCAGGGTCATTCCAAGATTTAGAGTAAGTAATAGATAGCCATATTAAAACTGTGCATAAGCGATCCAACATGGATCCCATTCCTGCTATAGTTAATATTTTCTGGTTAAAGAAGCAAAATTAGTGTTTTCTCATTTAAAGAAGTTTAAGATTTTCACCCTTGTTTTGGACAAACTGAGAAACAAGCAGAGATGTCCAGGAAGAGAGGACTCATGTCTCCAAGGCAGGATTCTTTCTTTGTTTTCTCTAGTCAGAAGCCCTTTCTTTCTTTCTTTTCATCTGATTTTCTTGAGACCTGTCAGTGCCTGACATTTGGTTCTTGCAACTTTTATCTTTTCAATGATGTTCATCCTTTCTCCCTACAGCTTCCTCCAATTCATCTAGAATTTCTAAATAGTAATGCTCATGACTAATAATGTCCCTTTCCCTCACTGTGTCTAACTAGGGCCCTTTTACACAATTATTATTCTATAAATGTTTAATGAATGAGGGGATTACTGAACTAATATAAATTGTTATGGCAATTAGTAAATTATGGGCAATACTCAAACAACACCCTAACAAAAACCACAAATCTTAAAACAAAGCCTATGGTTGTTGCAGAGGAAAATAGAACATATTTAAAATCGCTACCCTTGTAAATTGGAAATTCTCTGATACAGATCAAAACTTTCTCCAGAGCACTTGAGACTACTCGTTCAATGGCTGTCTTCCCTAGAAGATTATGTTTCATGAAGACATGAACTAGATGAGTCTCTTCAACTATTTTCTACCAGTGCCTAACAGAATTCTTGTGCTGTATTAAGTATTTACTGTGTGTTTTTGAATAGATAAATGAATGAGTAAAGAAATGAATTAATTCTATGCATATTTTCATATTAATAAATATGTGCAGTACATGTTTATTAATAATGATTTATAGGTAACTTCCGATTCAGTGAAATGAAACCACCTTTGGAACTTAAATTCTCCTGTCTGAGCTTTCACAAAATTATTTTACTTTATTAAAAAATGTCATAACTTCTTGGATTGTTATTTGACAATCTTTGACTCCAAGGAAGCATGCCAAAATAGGCAAAGTTTCCAGTGTTTCAAAATTGGACCTATAAGTAAAGGATATTAAAATATTTAATAAAAATGAGTCAATTAAAAGAAGTTTTTTTCCTGAGATTATACTCTTTCTACTTTTCTGGTGTTAAGATGTCCTCTGCTTTAGAAATAATGATAATTGTAGTCAGGGACAATTTTAGAAACGTTTAAGTGTCCTTAAAAATATATGTGTGTATAACCCTGCATTAGCACTGTAGTTTAATTTTATTTATCTATGAAACATCTTCTTAAGTCATTAAGATTCCACCTGCATAAAATTTGTTAGTTATTATTAGCAAGTAGTTCAACAATCATTTTCACTTTCATGGCTTTAGTACTGAACTACTTAGCCAATTCAATCTTGACTCATTCTTGAATAGCTGAGTTAAACAGATTTTGCAGGGGGAAATCATCAATCATAATTAAATAACTAAACCTTGATGCTATTCACTCTAGAACAATCTTTTCAATAAGAATTATCTATATCAGGAAAACTCAATTGCAAATCAAGGTTCTGACTTTTTGATTTCATATTTAGAGTTGTATCTGAAACCACTAATCTGTTTTCTTTATTACTGTCATCTTCATACATGTGGAATATATCCAGGATGCACCTGATGCCAGACTTTCTTTGTAAATAAGTTTCAGGTCTTTGTGCTTTTCTTGCAACTGCCTTTTCCAGACATCAAATTTTTAAAGTCAGAAAATCAAACCATCTATAGTAGAAAAAATTCTTCCATTTTTACATAATATGGTAACAAAAAGAAATGGAGTTATTTCATCTGTGTAGACTGTTAAATTTTTCTTCCTCATATTTAATCTATGCCTAAGATGCTGACATAATGACAGGATGGAAAGTTTCTTTAAAGTGCAATTTCCCAAGCCTGATCATTAGATTTTCATTTATTTATTTATTATTTTAACTGTGGTAAAATACACATAGCATAGCATTTATTGATTTAAGTGTATAGCAGTATTAACTGCATTCACATTGTTGTGCAACATATCTCTAAAATTTTCTTATAACTTGCAACACTGATGCTTACTCATTGAAAAACAATTTTCCATTTTCTTCTACCTCCAGCTCCTGGCAACCACCACTCTACTTTGTTTCTATTTGCTTGACTACTTTACATATATCATAAAATTGAAATCATCTGGTGTTTGTCTTTTTGTGACTGGCTTATCTTACTTAGCATAATGTCCTCAAGGTTCATTCATGTCCTAGCATGCAGCAGGATTTCTTGTTCCTTTGTTTTTTCAAGGCTGCATCATGTTCCATTGCACGTATAGGCACATTTGTTTTTATCTGTTTCTCCATTAACAGATATTCGGATTGCCAGCACCTCTTGGCTACTGGGAACAATGCTACAATAAACATGAGTATGCAAATATCTCTTTAGGATCCTGCTTTTAAGTATTTTTGGATACACAGTATACCAAGAAGCATGATTTTTAGATCATATTGTTGATGAAAAGAGTCAAACTCTGTAAAATATTTAAAGAGATTCATTCTGAGCCAAATAGGAGTGACCATGGCCCATGACACAGCCCTCAGGAGGTCCTGACAACATGTGCCCAAGGTGGTCGGGGTACAGCTTAGTTTTATATATTTTAGGGAGGCATGAGACATCAATCAAATACATTTAAGAAATACCTTGTTTTTGTTCAGAAAGGCGAGACAATTCAAAGTGTGGGCTCCCAGGTTATACATAAATTTAAACATTTTCTGGTTGACAATTGGTTGACTTTTATCTGAAGACCTGGGATCAAAGGAAATGTTCAGGTTAAGATAAAGGATTGTGAAGACCAAGATTTATTGTGCAGAGGAAGCTCGCAGATAGCAGACTTCAGAGAGCGAGCAGGTTGTAAAATGCCTCTTATTGGACCCTAAAAGGGTGCCTGGCTCTTAGTTGATTATCTCCTGGATCTGGAAAGGAAGGAAGAAAAACAAAGGGGAAAGGGGATTCTCTATAGACTGTGGATTTTTCCCACAAGAGACTTTGCAGAGCAATATCAAGGTGTGGCAAGGAAATATATTTTGGGGTAAAACATTTTGATTTTCTTCCTTGCCATGCCAGAGTCACCTTGGAAAGTAAGTCATGATATACAGGGTTAAATAAAACCCATCTGATGAGAATTTATGGTTTGTAGGGCATGGCTTCCCAGACTCCTTAGATAGGAATTTGGGCAAGATAAAAAAAAATCATAGCTTAATCCTCAATATGATAATTATGTTTCTAATGTTTTGAGAAAACTCCACACTATGTTTTATAGTAGCTGTACTATTTTACATTCCCACCAGCAGTGAACAAGGGTGACAATTTTTTTACATTTTCAACAACACTTGTTATTTTCTGCTTTTGTATTAGAGGCCATTCTAAAGGTTATGGGGTGATTTTTCATTGCAGTTTTGATTTGTATTTCTCTAATAATAAGTTATTCTTAGCATCCTTTCATATGTCCGTTGGTAATTTGTACATTTTCTTTAAAGAAATATTCATTCAAGTCCTTTATGCATTTTTAAATTAGATTATTTTTGTTGTGGCTGGTGAGTTGTAGTTTTTTATATATTTTGGATATTAACCCCTCATCAGGTACATATTTGCAAATATTTCCTACCATCCCACAGGTTGCCTTTAGGTTCTGGTGATTGTTTTCTTTGATGTGCAAAGATTTTAAGTTCGATATAGTCCCATTTGTCTATTTTTTTTTTTATTGCCTGTGCTTTTGGTATCATGTTAAGGAAATTATTGCCAATTTCAATGTCATGAAGCTTTTCCCCAATATTTTTTTTCTAGAAATTCTATAGCTTAAGTCTGATGTTTATTTGAATTAATGTTTGTTAGTTTTTAAATATGATGAAAATTATGGATCCAACTTTATTTTTTGCCATTTGTTCATAAGACTGTCATTTCCCTTTGTGTGGTCTGGGCACCCCCGGCTGCAAATCACTTGAATGTATGTGTGATGGTTTAGGTCTGAGCTTTTCATTATTTTCATTTGTCTATATGTGTTTATATGACAACACCAAACTGGTTTGATTATTGTAGTTTTGTGATTTTTTTTTTATTCTGAATGTGTGGGGCCACCAAAATTGTTCCTTTTCAAAATTGTTTTGATTACTTGATGTCCCTTGAGATTCCATATAAATTTTAGGACTTTTTTGCTATTTCTGAAAAAAAAAATGCCATTGGAACTTTGATGAAGAGTGCATTGAGTCTGTAGACTGCTTGGGTTTATATTGAATTGTAACATTGTTAACTTTCATGAACCATGAATGTCCATTCTAACCCATGAAGATGTGTGTCTTTCCATTTAGACATGTGTCTTCTTTAATTTCTTTCAGCAACATTTTGTAGTCTTAGTGACTACTTGATTTTGTCTACTTGATTAAGTTTCTTCCCGGTTATTTTGGGTACTATTGGATCCTACTGGATCCTATTGTAGAATACTTCGAATACTATTGTAAATAGAATTGTTTTCTTATAACTTTTTCAGATTGCTCATTGTTAGTGTAGGAAAAAACACGACTGATTTTTGTGTGTTGATTTTGTATCCTGAAAACTTTACTGAATTCATTTAATAGTTCTAATAAGTGTGTGTATACAATCTAAAGATTCTACATATGCATTTTATACATATAACATGTCATCTGTGAAAAGAGCTTACTTTCCTTCTTTCTGTACAATTTAAATGACTTTTTTATTGCCTAATTGCTCTGACTGGGACTTCAATTACTACTTTTAATAGAAGAGGCAAGAATGGGCATTTTGCCTTGTTCCTGCTCTTAAAGAAAAAATAGTTCAGATTTCTACCATTGAGTATGATGTTAGTGGTGGCTTTTTTTTTTTTTTTTTTTTTCAATATGGAGTTTCACTCTATTAACCAGACTGGAGTGCAGTGGCATGATCTGGGCTCACTGCAACCTCCACCTCCCAAGTTCAAGCAATTCTCCTGCCTTAGCTTCTCTAGTAGTTGGGACTACAGGCATATGCCACCACACCCTGCTACTTTTTGTATTTTCAGTAGAGATGGGATTTCACCATGGTGGCCAGGCTTGTCTCTCTTAGCTCCTGACCTCAAGTGATCTGCCAGCCTCGGCCTCCCAAAGGGCTGGGATTACAGGCATGAACCTCTGTGCCCAGCCCAGTTGTGGACTTTCGATATATGACCTTAATTATGTTGAGGTAGCTTCCTTATATTTAAAATGAGTTAAATATTTTCATTATGAAAGTTTTTTAATTTTGTTTAATGCTTTTTCTTCATCAAATGAGATAATTCAGTATTCATTCATCATTCTGTTAATGTGGTGTATTACACTGGATGTTTTTTCTATGTTGAACCATCCTTGCATTCCAAGAATAAATCCTACTTGGACATGGTGCATAATTCTTTTACTCTGCTGTAGAATTCAATCTGCTTGTATTTTATTGAGGATTTTGCATCAATACTTATCAGGTACCTTAGTCTATAGTTTTCTTATAGTATCTTTTTCTAGCTTTGGTATCAGGGCAATGCTGGTCACATAAAATGAGTTTGAAGTGTTCCTTCCTCTTCTATTTCAGTGAAGCATTTGAGGAAGACTGCTGTTAATTATTCAGTAAATGTTTGGTATATTCAGTGAAGCTACTCGGTCCTGGGCTTTTATTTGTTGCCAGGTTTTTGATTACTGATTCAACTTAACTGATTATAGATTTGTTCATATTTTTAAATTTTTAAAAATGATTCAGCCTTGGTAGATCGTATACTTCCATAAGTTTACTCATCCGTTATAGGTTATACAATTTTTGGCATATAATTCTTTATCAACATTTCTTATAAGCTTTTATATTTCTGTATCATCAGCTGTAATACTTTATCTCTGATTTTGGTTGAGTATTCTTCTGTTTTCTTAGTTAATGTATCTTAAGGTTTATAAATTTTGTTAATGTTTGTAAAAAGCAAACTCTTGTTCTTCTTAAATTGTCCTATTGTTTTTTAATTCTCCATTTTATTTCTATTTTAATTTTATTACTTACTTCATCTACTAAATTTGGATTTAGTTTGTTGTTTTTCTGCTTCCTTGAGGTATAAAGTTAGGTTGTTGATTTAAGGCCTTTTTTCAATTTTGGTGTAAGTTTTTTCTGGTATTAACTTCCCTCTTAGCACTGCTTTTGCTGCATTCTGTAAGTTTTGGTATGTAATATTTTGTTTTCATTTGTCTCAAGGTATTTCTAATGTTCTTTATGATTTCTTATCTTACCTATTGGATACTTAAGAGTATGCTGTTTCATTTCTATATATTTATTGTTTGTTTTCTTTATGCTATTTATTTCTAGTTACATAACACTCATTGAAAAAAAAATACTTTGTATGATTTCAATCCTCTTAAATCATTAAGATTTGTTTTGCTACCTACCTTGTGTTCTAGATTGTAGAATGTTCCATGTGTGGTTTTATATGTCTATTAGGTCTAATTGCTCTGTAGCATGGTTCAAGTTCTCTGTTTCCTTACTGATCTTCGGTCTTGTCGTTCTATCCATAACTGAAAATGGGATATTCCTATTACTATGTTGCCAACCTTTCTCTTTCATTCTGTCAATTTGTGCTTAATATATTTGAGATTATTAATGTTATGTGCATATATATTTATAATTATTATGTGTACCTGGTGCATTGACCCTTTTATGTTCATATAACGTTTTACCTTGTCTTTTGTGACACTTTTTGTTTTAAAGTCTACTTTGCCTAATAAAAGTATAGGTACTTCTGCTCTCCTTAGGTTCCTCTTTGCAGGAAATATCTTTTTCCAATTTTCATTTTTAGCCTATTGTGTTCTTCAGTCTAACATAGATCCCTTGTACATAACATATAATTGGATTCTGGTTTTTTAAAATATTCCCCCAATCTATGTCTTTAGATGAGAGAGTGTAATTCAGTTGCATTCATTTAATTTTTAATTGATGCATAACAACTATACATATTTATGGTGTA